>NC_000013.11:74468712-74620227 GCF_000001405.40 Homo sapiens
GGAAGTTAGACTGGCAAAGAGTGAGAGTATTAGTGGGATAACTGGATACAAATATGTGCATATAGACAACTCTAGAAAATTCTGTGAAGTGTAAACACTTAGAAAATGAAGAAAATGGAACAGAGAATAAAGACCCAGGGTGGGGTGATGGGTAGCAACAGGGTATGAAGATGATCCTTAGCAAATGGGTAAGGGGAGGAGACACATGGGAAGAGAAAGCTGAAAGGAAAAACACAGAACAATTATGACTGTGGATGAGTCTGATGGCATTTTGTTCTCCTCTAAGGAAGTCATATTCTCATAAACAAA
Organism: Homo sapiens; assembly: GCF_000001405.40. NCBI lineage: Eukaryota > Metazoa > Chordata > Mammalia > Primates > Hominidae > Homo > Homo sapiens. The sequence goes on from NC_000013.11 coordinate 74,469,022, forward strand.
AATTATTATGCATAAGAAATAGAGGAAAATAAGAATTGTAACCAACACTTATATTTACGTGTACACATTTACATATATTTATTTGTGCAGTAGACAGAAGTACTGATAAAAGCATATCAAAATGGAGCTGAAATACTGAAAACATGGCATGGTCTCCCAACTTTACCAGAATTCATGTTGAGAGGAAAAAATATTATTCATTTGTTCATTGCATAACTTAGCATTCCATTTCTAGTACCACAACCGTATACTGTTTTCTGGTTTTACTTGTTTAAAAATTATTGCACGTCGATAATAATCAGCACTTTAAATCCAGGGATGCTATATAACTTTAGCTCACCTGCACAAAAATGGAGATCAAAAAATGTCCAAGAAGATTATTGACCTTCATTCTAATGAGCAGGCTGTGTAATATGCATCACTTTGATTTCATTTCCTAACATAAAGCATCACCAGAAAGTACAATTATAAATTTATCTCCATACACTGGGATTCTAATAGAGAACAGTGAGAAAGTAACGGGGCAGCAATGAATGATTATTTAATAGTAACAGTGCACATATGATAAAAATAGAATATTTCTTTAAGTTACACTTTTTATTCTACTTTACAGCAAACTCTCACTAAATAAGTGAAGCATAGTTCCCCAATTCAATTTGCTTTGATTTGATTCAATTCAATCCAATTCAGCTCTATTCAACTCAACTCAAGAAACATATTTATTTAGGAAACCAAAAGACATACCGGATCTTAGGCTTTGAAAAGAACTGTTTCTTTTTCTCCCCAGTATAAAATATATAGATGACTGTGTCAATATAGCATGAAAACATATTAAATTGAAATTGGAAAATTCGGCAAGAGGTTTTACTGCAGGATTGACACCATTAAAAAAAAGAATGAGCCAAATTTATGCTTGGAGATGCTTTAGAGAAATTAAACATTCTCTTAATCACAGCTATCATACAATTGATGCTTTCTATTGTTAAGCAACTTCATAAGAATGAAACTCCAGAATTTTTTTCTTGAAATTATACAAACTGAAATGGCATTCTGGAATCTGTAATTTTTTTTTCAGTCGTTATATAAAAACACCGGGGAGTTGAGGACAGAGGATGTTTCTGAGACAGACATAGTGGTATCTTGGAGAGAGGCTGGGGGATGTTAGGAAGGAACTAGTTGGTCAGTGAGAAACTTCTTGTGGCAGGTGTTCTAGTTTGCAAGGGCTGCCATAGCAAAGATCTCAAACTGGATGGCTTAAAAAATAGAACTGTATTGTCTCACAGTTCTAGAGGCTCGAGGTCTAAAATTGAAATGTCAGTAGTGCTGTGCACTTTCTCTGAAAACTGTAGGGGAGAATCCTCCCTTGCTTCTTTCTAGCTTCTGGTGGTGGCCATCAATCTTTGGCATTCCTTGGCTTGCAGCAGTGTCTCACCAATCTCTGTCTCTGTTGTCACATGGCATGCTCCCTACATATCTATATCTTCTCATGGTGTTTTCTTCTTCTTATGAGGAAGTGCTAGCCATATTGGAGTAGGGCTCACCCTCATGACCTTACCCTAACTTGATTCCATCTACAAAGACCCTATTTTCAAATAAGGTCACATACAGGTACCAGGGGTTAGGATTTCAACATATATTTTGTGGGGACACAATTTAACCAATCACAGGAGGTATGACTTGAATACTTTTTTATGGAGAGTGACTTCTAATATTCTGTATTAGGCTCTCTCTGCAGAGCTGTTCTGTGTCTAATGTTACTATATCTTTAGTGCTATTCCCAAATCTTCAATAAACTTCTACCACTTCCTGATGTGAGCAGCATTTTTACAAAATCAAGGTAAAGAAACTTTGTTCCATGCCTTAACCAGTGTGAGGCAGAGAGAAAAAGAACAGATTTGAGTACTGAATAATATAGAATGATACAGAATATAAGCTAAATTTCCGTAACAAAGAATACCTAAATACAGTGGGTTTAATAAAAAAAAGTTCAATTTTCTCTGATCTTACATTCTATAGTTTGGTTGCCAGTTCAAGTAAGGCAGGCAATTCTGCACAAGGTCACAGGGGACCCAAGTTAGCAAGCATTTCTGGGTCCAAGTAAACTATTTCCTTGTCACCATTTTTTAGCAAGCAAGAAGTAAGAAAAAGAGCATAAAGGCAAACTGCTTCCTTTTTGAAGGACATGATTTAGAAGTTCCAAGCATCATTCGCTCTCAACTATCACTGGCCAGAAATCGATCAGATTGGTCAGACCTGGCTGCAAAAGAGTCTGGGAAACGTAATCTCAGTCTGACCAATGGTGTATCTTGCTGAAGTGATAGAAGGGGGATCCTGGTTCAAATAATAAGAGAGGAAATGGATACCAGGGAACAATGAGCAATCTCTGTCATAGGTAACAATAACGTTAGACTGAGAGTTCACTGATAATAAAAAATGGTCATTAGAATTAACTAGGTTAAACCCCCAGGAATTCTCAGGCACCTCAGGACTTCCAAAACACAGCATGGCAGTTGAAAACTGTCTTGGAGTTGGAAGTGTGGTGTTTACCAAAATAAGGGACCTAACTAATAGTATTAATAGTTTTTATTTTCAAAGTACAAGGTGACCACAGTTGATAACTAGACTTTATGTAACAGAAGAGAGAAGCTTATATTGGAATCTCAGCATTTAAAAATTAAAAGGAGGGAACTATAGTAAGCTGTATTAAAGTAGTGTTGCAACTGTGGGTTTAAACACAGGGAAGAAGAGGATTGAGAGTTGATTTGTAATTAATTGTCACTTCTTATTTATTGTAAGACCTGCAACTGAAGAGTTTTAGAGAGAAATTACGGAAAGCACAAGGGGCAAAAAACCAACAATAACAAATGTAGTTACATTCATTTTGAGATTTAAACAAGGCCTTCATATGAAAGTTCTAAAGTTACATATAATAAAGTTAACAAAGTTCTGGTAGCAAGCCCCAATACATTTGGTTGTATACAAATAATCTAATATTTGCTTTAAAATATTTAAAAACTACTACTAGCATGATAATTAATGGCAAAACATCCAAAGCTTTTCCCTCAGCTTGAGAACAGCCAAAGATAATCACTATTATATTGTATTGAAGGTTCTACCCAGCTCTACCCACTATTATATTGTATTGAAGGTTCTACCCAGTTCTACCCACTATTATATTGTATTGAAGGTGCTACCCAATAAGGCAAGCAAACAAATGAACCCCTTGCCCCTCCTAAATTATTTTTCAAAATAATTGAGAAATAGGACTGTAAGGCTGTCTTTTTTTTCCTGATAGACAACATAATTGTACATGTAGAAAATCCAAAAGAATTTACAAGTAAACTATTAGAACTTAGCAACATTACTGAATTAAAAGTCAATATAAGAAATAAATTTTATTTTTCTATTACAGTAACAAATAATAAATTAAAAATTAAAAAATACCATTCACAGTAGCATCAGAGGAATCAAATATCTAGCAATGAATCTAAGAAAGATATTTAAGACTTCTACACTGAAAATAATGTTATTAGAGTTATTAAGGAGAAATAAAATAAGTAGATATATCTTGTTAATGGATTGGAAGACTCAAAATTATTTAGATGTCAATCCTTTACAAATTGTTGTATAGATTCATCACAATCTCTATTAAATCCTCAGCAAGTTGTTTGTGGAAAATGACCATACTTAAACATTTATATGGAAATGCAAAGGCAAAAGTTAGCTAAATCAGTTTGAATTCAAAAAACTAAGAGGACTTACACTCCCAGCTATTAAGACCCATCGAAAGCTCTTCTAGATAGTTGTTATTGGCTCAATGATAGGCAACTAAACCTATCCTCTCCCCTCCAAAATATTCCATGCATACACCATCACCAGATTTATATCAAAGATGACACTGTAGTATAGTGGAAAGCCTTTTTAATAAATGATTCCAGGTCAATTGATATCCACATGGAAAAAATTAATTTTGACCTCACACCATACACAAAAATCAATTCCAAAAATCAATTAGACATCTAACTTTAAAGGGTAAAAATAATAAGACTTTTAAAAGAAATTGTAGGCGCATTTCTTTGTAACCTTGAAGTAGGTAAAAATTTATTAAATAGAATACAAAATGCACTAGTTTTAAAAGCAAAATGGATAAATTTAATGATATTAACATTATGAAATTCATTTTATTAAAAAACACCCTTAAGAGAATGAGAAGGCAGGCTTACCATGGGATATGACATTTCTAATTCATATGTCTGAAAAAGACTAAATCTAGACTACACAAATACCTATTAATCAATAAGAGGTAAACATCTGAACAGAAAAATAGGCAAAAGTTTTTAAGGTACATCACAAAAGAAAATATCAAAATGGCCAATAAACATATGATATAATAATAAATATATAAAATACCAATGAATATATGAAAAGGTGCTGAACTTTGGGAAAAATTCATGAGGGAAATGCAAATTAAAAGCACAATGCTACACCACTAGACATACACACACATTCACATTCACATTCACACTCACACTCACAGAGAATGGTTACAAAGCAAATGACAGATAAATCCAAGTGTTTACAAGGATGTGGAGCAACCTGAACTTTCATGTACTGCTGTCAGGATGTAGAGTGATACAACCACTTTGGAAAGCCTTTGGCAGAATCTATTAAGCTGAAAATATGCATGTCCCATGACTCTGAAGTGTCATTACCTAGGTATATATATACCATTAAAATGAGTACCTATTTTCACCAAAATATATGTACAAAGATGTTCATGTTGGCAATATTTAAAATGGCCAAAAGCAGAACTTGTCAAATGTCTACCAACAGTGGAAGAGATAAATAAATTGTTTATTAGTAATTATTAATTTATTTATTATTAATTAATTCCCTCAACAGGATGCTCTATGGAGATGAGAATTAATAAACAGAAACTGTATGCCACTACATGGATAACTCTCACAAATATGATGAGAGACAAATAAACAAATTTAAAAAGCCAGACACAGAGTCCATAGTGTATACTATTATTTATTTCAGGTTCAAAATCAGGCAAAACTAATCTGTAATGTAGGAAGTCAAGATGGTGTTTACTCCTGGTTGAGGTGGAGAAGTTACTGGAAGGATGAGGAAAAAAGCTTCTGGGTGTTCTGTTTCTTGATCTGATCGGTGGTTACCTGGATGTATTTAATTTGTTAGAATTCAGAACACTGTGCAAATACAATTTGCGTACATTTATACATAGAGATTATACTTTAATGCAATTAAAAACATCAATTCTACTATCTTATGGTTACATGCCAGACAAAATAATTAGAAGGCACAGTTTAAACTCTTAAGGAATTTCATAAATCCAAGTAAGAAAAATGACATTCATGACATGATATTATTTGAATGTCAAAGAAGCAATAATTATAATGAAAATAATATACCAGAACTGAAATGAGGAAGCAAATTTAAGGAAAAGCAAATGAGATTAAAATAATTTCTAGGATAAGCCCTTTCTTTACTTTTGTTTTGGATGCAGTGTTTGGAAAAGACATGCAATGTTATATTTTAAAGTAACATATATCTTTTAATTTCAAAAAAGTGGTAATTTTTGCAAAATAAAATTTGTGTGAGAATTCTAAGGAGGTAAAACAAGTTACAGAAAATCTTGAAGCAGACTTAATTAACAAACAATAAAAAAGTGTTAAAAGGATATCTGCCTAGCAAGTGAAGGATTCATGAAGGTGAAAAAAGTCAATGACTCCATGACATTCTATTAATCTCCTATGAGTGAGTGAAATTTGTCCTTCCTTAATGACTTTTTCCAATCTACTATAGTTGGCCCTCTGTATCTGTGGGTTCTGCATCCATGGATTCAACCAACTGCAGATAAAAATATATGGAAAAAACTCACAACAATAAATAATACAAATAAAAAGCAATATAGTATAACAACTATTTACATAATATTAGGTATTATAAGTAATCTAGAGATGATTTAAAGAATATGAAAGGAGGTACACAGGTTATATACAAATACGATACCATTTTATATAAGGGACTTGAGCATCCTTGGATTTTGGTATCCTGCAGGGTGGGGGTAAGGGGTCCTGGAATCAATCTCCCATGGATATCAAGGAAAAACTGCACTTTTCTACCTGCCTTTTTTTTTTTCTTAGTCCAAGTAAACCTATCTAGTGGAGTTGAAATGAGGATTTTGTAACCCAAATACTGATTAATTATTATAATTGCCATGGGTTCAACAGAAATGATCTCAAAATGCAAAAATCATCATCTCTTTCAGCAACAAATTATAGCACTTCTGAGTGACCTGACGTTTTTAACTGCATGGTAAAATTAGGGATACAAAATGTAGACACCAGCCATAGCTTGTGTGATATACTCTGATTTCAAGGCAGCTTTTTGCAACTCATGGTCTCTTTTATGGAAAATTAAAAGAAAAAACTGTTTTTCTACTCACTGCACTTCTGACACAAGACATGTGGGTTTTCCAAACTAAGCAATTCTCCGGTTCTCTGTGGACACGAAGAGGGTGTCCTATAGTTTAATTCAATTCTAATACCAATTGCCTGAAATTAGTGCAGACCCCTGAGATGAAGGAATCAGGCCCATAAGACTGTCCCCCCAGTTCAGATATCAATCTCAGTTAGTGGATCCCCGTGTTATCCACACTTCTATCTTACTTGTCTACAAATCAGGGGTTCTTACAAGCCCCTCTTCTTATTCAATAATTTGCTATAAAGGGTCACAGAATTCAGGGAAACACTTTACTTATGTTTACTAGTTTATTTTAAAGAATATCATAAAGGATACAAATGAACAGACAAAGAGATAAATAGTGCAAAGTATAGGGAAGGGGTGTGGAACTTCCATATCCAATCTGGGTAGTCCCCCCTCTCAGCGTCCCAATGTGCTCGTCAACCTAGAAGCTTTCTGAGTTCCACTGTCTAAAGTTTTTAATAAGGTTTCATTATGTGGGCATGACTGATTACATCATTGGCCATTGAATCTCTAGCCCCTTTTCATTGGTTGGGTTAAGCTGAAAGATCTAACCCTGCAATCATGCTTTGTTTTTTCTAGTGACTGGCTGCCATCCTGAAGCTATCTAGGGATGTTATCTAGTCATTTCATTAGCGTACAAAGGACATTCGTCACTTTGGAGATTCCTAAGGTTTTAAAAGCTCCTGTGTCTGGAATCAGGGTCAAAGACCAAATATTAGAACAAAAGATGCTCTTAGCACCCCATCACTCAGGAAATTACAAGGATTTTAGGAGCTCTGTATCCGGAACTGAGGGAAGAGACCAAATATATATTTCCTATTATGTCATAAATATCTATTTCTCAAAACAGAGGTTGAGTCTCTTCTGTGGAGCATCTAAAGGTTGGAAAATCTCTTCTTATCCTTTCCTTGTAAAAAATCGCCTTTGTGGGGTCTGAGGCAATAATGATCCTCTTAGCAGGCCTCATTCAGGCCACTTGAGAGATTCTAATGCATTGAGAGGATTCATAAAATAGTTTCTCAGAAGTAAGATTACATGTTTATTTTGTGCATACACCCAGAAGTTTTGCAATAAGTGCATTTTTATAATTCTAATAGATTTCCAGGGTACTGCCTATTCTTTTTTCTATGCTAATAGCAAGAGGCTGTTGAGATGGGAGCAATTTTTTAAAAATTCTGAATATAAGCAATGTAAATATCACTGCCAATTTGTGAATCTGCCAAACCTTCCAATTGCCTTATTTCAAAATTTATTTATTTATTAAAATCTGTTAAATAAAAACAACAATGACCTCTAGTTTATCTTTCCCTATTTTGTGCAGCCAATTTTAACTGAGAAATTCAGATGCCACTATTACTTAGATCATAGGGAAAAAAAGATAGTGGCATTAGGGTAATTCATTTTAAAAATGCAGTGGAACATTATTTGGAGGTGTGGTTCTTTTACTTCCTGCTGTCTGAGGCACTCAATCTTATTTTCAAGGACTCTACCTTTCCAGTGAAGAACAGAAGAGCAGTATTTAGACTTAAGCTTAAAAGAAATACCATAAAAGGAAATGAGCAAACTTTAAGTTCTATCTTTAATGGTGTATTATAGAGAAATTCCTCAAATCAAGTATTGCTCTTGAAGAGAGAAGTCTCTCTGGTTCTATGACTATTATTATCCCACTATGTGGGATTACTAAACCCATCCAACTCAAGTTGCTTGTTTCAAACACCTCTTTCCCTTGTATTTTCAAGGTGCATTATATATGTATTCAGATATAATCAAGGATATTGCCCTGTGTGTTCTGTTTTTAGGGTTCCAATCTTGGTACCTAACATAAAGACCTACAAAGAGTGCAAAGCAGACGGGTAGCTTTTGAGTGCCTATCTCAGTCACACATCACTACTTCCGCTTTTAATTTCCCTATCTCTTGCAAATTCTTCAAGTTAACTTTATTTTTGTTCCACATTTTTCCCATACTTACTTGACTTTCTCCTCTCATTTTCTTCTGAAAACTTCAAGCCTTATTTTTTATCTTAAATCATGACTGTTTCTTTTTCTCTGTCCTTTAGCTGAGACTATATATATTTTAGTACGTGAATGTTGTATTTGCATCACAGTTAAACCATTTAACACCAAGTGCAATAAAATTTTAGGGGACCAAATACTATGTTCTCTTCTGTGGAAATACCATAATTCCTTTATCTGAATCAGAGTCTGTAGTGGGAAGCTGCTATTGTATCATATTGCTACGGAATTACTAAAGGTTACCACCAATCAAGAACTCATGGATAACTTTACTACTATATATATCACTAGACTTAGCTACTTGGTAGTTGTTGGGAAAAGGAAAACTACTTCAAGATTGTTTTGGAGAAACAGTCATTATTCCTGAAACTGGATGTCACATGAGCTTTCTTCAATTCTCATGAGCAGGTATACCATTTGGCATTTTAAACTTTCTTTTTCACCTATGTTGCATCCCTATAAATGAAGCATACTTTTTGATAAAACATATGAAAAACAGAGGTAGTCATTTAGCCTTTAGAGAAGTAAGAGATCTAAGAGATATGAGTTCCTTTTAGCACTGGGACCAAGAGAAGTGAAAGGAGTTTCTCAAGGCAAGTTATTGATAGAATAAGAACTGAAACACAACTTGACTGAATCCACTGGGCTTTTTACTGTTCTACTATATGTCCAGAGTCAGATGTAGATGACCGCATTTACTGCCAGGGTCTGTGATTTTCATTACATTACGTGGGGGAAGAAACAATGAAGTTTCAATAACCAAAGTGTTGGCGCAGCTCAGAGTTGGCTCCTGCAGCCATTTCTAGCTGTCTGCAAAGAGGAAGCTGCATGCAAGCTGGCACTGAGGAATGAATGTTAGCCAGCATTCTAGGATTCAACAGGAAGACCACATTAAAACAATGGAAGATAAAGGGTGACTTATTACATTAGTCAAGGTTCTCTAGAGAGACAGATCTGTATGTGTGTGTGTGTGTGTGTGTGTGTTTGTGTGTGTGTATTATGTATGAAGAGATTTATCATGAGGTATTGGATTACATGCATATGGAGGCTTAGATGTTCCACAGTCTGCTCTCTGCAAGCTGGTGACCCAGGAAAGCTAGTGATGGAGCTTGAAACTCTCAAGCCAGAGAACCAATGGTATAGATTCCAGTCTGTGTCTGAAGGCCTGACAACTAGGAGCACCAAGGGCAGAAGAGGATTGATGTTCTAGCTTAAGCAGACAGGCAGGGAGTAAATTCAACCTTCTTCCATCTTTTTCTTCTATTCAGATCTTCATCAGATTGGGTGGTGGCTATCTACATTAGAGAGGACAATCTGCTTTAGTCTACCAATGAAAATGTGAATCTCTTCCAGAAACACTCTTACAGACACTTCCAGAAATTATGTTTAAGAAGCTATCTGGGCATCCTATGGCTCAGTCAAGTTGACATGTGAAATTAACCATCATACACAGGGACAGCAGTTTTAATACCTGGGTAACTATTAGTCCATTTTCACGCTGCTGATAAAGACATACCCAAGACTGGGCAATTTACAAAAGAAAGAGGTTTTATGGACTTACAGTTCCACATGGCTGGGGAGTCCTCACAATCATGGCAGAAGGCAAGGAGGGACAAGTCACATCTTATGTGGATGGTGACAGGAAAAGAGACAGAGGGCTCGTTCAGGGAAACTCCACCTTATAATACTGTCAAATCTCATGAGACTTATTATCATGAGAACAGCATAAGAAAGACCTGTCTCTGTGATTCAATTACCTCCCACTGGGTGCCTGTCACAACGTGTGGGAATTCAAGATAAGATTTGGGTGGGGACACAGCCAAACCATATCAGTAACCTTTGGTGAGAATGGGGAAAGAACTAGATAAGATATGGATAAAGTAAGAGTAATTTCTTTCTAGGCAGGGCAGCAATGGTTACATGGTAATTTTATTCTAAAGAACATTCACAATCTTGTCTGAAACTATTTCTCAAGCCTTATCTCTACATTTTCTGCATGACCCCATTTTCCTCCTGCAGCATTGGTTTCAGCTAGGCTAACTGGCCATCCCTCATTGTGCCATACATCTACTTATTCATTTTTTAATATTTTCATTTCTTTATATACAGGCAGTCCTTGACTTTCAACATTTCACTATGTGTGAATTCAGTTACTATGGTTTAGTTACATGACACCAGTCATCCAGCAACTCAATTCAAAATTTAGTTACAAGGGTATATTAACTATAATAATCATATAAAGCACAAACTTTGCTGCTAGCTCTTCAGTGCAAAAATCACTACTGAAATAATATATGCACATCATGACTGGTGACCAATCATATTGCTTCCTTCAAAATATGTTGGTAATTGGTCCTTACGCATCTGTTACTCAGTTCATGCACAGACAGCAAGTTGTGTTGCTTCCCAATGATAGCCCCATGTGATATTTTAGAAATAAAGATAATTGAAAGAGAAAATTGGTCAACAATGATGAAAGTGTAGCAAAAAAAGAAAACTCATAATGCTAAAAGTGAAATTTGAATTGGACATAAATGGAGTTATAGGAGAAATAGTTGCCTGTAGGAATGTTGATACTGCCACTGTTTGAAAGACTCCAGATGTGCAGCCAGAGAAACTTAGTGAAGGTGAATTTATTGACATAAATGAGGAAAGTGGTTGTGATGAAAGGATGAAGATGTCCCAGTAGAAGTGTGACATTGGCAAAAAAACTTCACATTAAAAAATTCTTGGGATATTTCTTGACTCTGAAAGCATAAAAGGTTAAGTGTTGGAAGCTGATTTCCCTTAGAAGGGAATGTGATGAGAAGAAGGAAATGAGAAGACAGAAAACAGTGTTCAAACTACTCTTAAGGTTTTTTTTTACAATAATATGAGACACTTTAATTCTCAAAGTTTCCAATATTTAAAATTTCAGTGGACTAAAGAAATATTGATTTTACCATTTTTCATTCTCTTGTTTGTTTAGAACTAACAGTAAGACAGTTTTAATGTTTTGAGAAAAAATGTAAAGCTCATAGAAAAATTGTAGTTTTTGTTTTGTTTTGTTTTGATTATTAAGATTGTTTTTCATAATTTCAGCATGCAGTCATTTTCATGGCCCTACACTATTGTGCAAAGCAAGGACTGCTTATAGATAGCATTTTGTGTGCACCTCCATCATAGTGTCATGTTTGATTGTCATTATTTATATGTGTCTGTCTCCCACATGAGACCATTGAGCTTTTGTGGAATAGGAACAACGTCATTTCTACATTTCCCCCAAATGCCTTCTATAGCAACTGGCATATAGCATGCCTGCAACAGTTTTGATGATTGAAAGAAAATATAACTTCTATTTAATCTCAGGAATTTTACATAGGAAGCATATTGAACAACATATACTTTCTACATTTGTGTGTATTTGTGTTCAGAATCGTTAAAGAACAGGAGGACTAAGTGATAACTTTGAGAATTTTTACCTTTATAGACAAAAGATATTTATGTCAATCTGTTTAGTGTTGCTATAACAAAATACCCATGGCAGGTTAATTCATAAAGAAAAAAGGTATATTTGGCTCATGATTCTGGTGCCTGGAAAGTTCAAGACCAGGAAGCCCATCTGATGAGGGTCTTGTGCTGTTTCAACTCATGATGTGTGCAAAGAGACCAAAGGCAAGAAGAAACAACCTGCTTTTTTGGTAACTAATCCAGTCCACAAGAGTAAGGACTCACTCCTGAGAGATGGCATTAATCTATTCATGAGGGCTTTTTCCCCCATGACTCAAACACTTCCCACTAGGCCCCATGTCCTAACACTGCCACATAGGGGATCAAAATTTAACATAAGTTTTGATGGGGACAAATCTCATCCAAACCATAGCTATATATAAACCCCATCCCTCAGAAAAAAAAGACTGACAAATACCCACTATTAGTAGTTAATTCTTGTGATTATTGAACAAAGAATGCCCTAATAACAATTTATAGATGAAACTTTTGACTTCAAACTATGAGGAGGAGAAAAAATTTCCTTATTAGGGTTTGTTTGATGAATAAACATCAAAATAAGCACATTCATAGACATAGAGTATATCTAAAACACACTGGATCCAAAGTAGATTTCTATTCTTGGTTATTACTATGTAGTCACTTTTTCTAGTAAGTGGGATTATAGTAGATCTAGAATGCTATGGTATCTCACCTGAAATTAATTGTTGGTAAAATGGCAAAAATGGTTGGTGTCTTGCCTTTTATGTAGTCTATTCTCTTTCTCTGCATCTCAAACATCAGATCAGTTGTTGAAAGTCATTAGGGAACGTGGATTAGTTGAAAGCAAAAGAGATTTTGCAGCCTGAGGGTTGTTTTGTATTGCTTGTAAGCCAGTGATTCTTAAACTTTCTTCTGAAGTATCACTGAAGTATCATTGACGTGCTGTCTTACCATGCATGACTGGCACATAGCTCATATCACAGGCAGCTAACCATGTGAATTCAACCACACCAAACTGATCCATATCCTATTTAACAAGATGAGTGCATTGGTCACACACACTTGGATATTGGAGCATGTCAAAGTGCTATAAAAGTTTCTAGGAGCTTACTTTCAAATTCTGTACTGATCTTGCATTGCACCAATATGTGGTCCATATTTTGAACGGTGCTGCTTTATTCTTTATTTATTCTATAAATTCAGCATTTTGAGCTTCTTGATTATCAAAGACTTTCACCTTCTCCCTTCATCAGCTATTCATTCTCATGATCATGTCCTGTATCATGCTGAGCACAAAGCAGGTGTTTAAAAAATGTCTATTAGCTGAATAAATAATAAATTTATAAATTTATAAATAAATAACAAATTAATAAATAATGAAGAAATTACAGAATAAAAGAAGAGTAGCTATGAAGAGAATAGGAATTCAAAAAGTGAGAAGTGAGAGGCAATGAGGGGAGCCTATGCTTAGGTCAAGGCTCTACGTAAGTGTTGCTGGAGGTGGCATTTTACATTGGGGGTGGATGCTCAGCTACAACCCTATTTGAAATACATCAAGTAACATATGTAATTTTGATTCAGCTAGAATAAAGTTGAGCTCAATATTTCTATAAATCTGTCTTTCAAGATTAATTTCACAGCCTTTAAATATCTGTCAACCAGGACTCTTCTGACTCCATGTCATGGAGACTCTTAGAGACTCTGAGAGTTTTTTATTGTGACTTCTGAGTAGTGTGATAAAATCTTATGCTGTCCCACTTTGTGGGATACACTGAACGGAAGGACGATTTATGTCCTGGGCAGACGTACAGGATGTAAATCATCCCTTTGTCCCATGTGTCAACACTGTCTGTCCTATCCACTACCCAACACTGTCTGTCCTACCCATCCCTTAGTTATGTAGCAGTCATGTTGGTTATTATATCAACAGATCACAAGAAGAAAGGTAAGTACAGCACAGTAAGATATTTTGGAAGAACCAGAGAGAGAGAGAGAGAGAGAAACTACAGTCACATAACCTTTATTACAGTGTACTATGATGATTGTTCTATTTTGTTATTATTGTTGCTAATCTCTTATTGTACCTAATTTATAAATTAAAGTTAATCATAGATACGTATGTATAGATAAAAACAGTATATGTAGGTTTCTAAAAACAGTATATGTAGGTATTAGCTGTGATTTCAAGCATCTACTGGAGATCTTAAAATATATCTCCACAGATAAGGGGAAAATACTATATATAATCTATATATTATGTATATCTGTATCCACATTAAAGTTAGAGGAGAATTAAATTATCAATGAATAAAGAAGTAAATATTTTAACCAGTATCAGTAATTTGCACATACAACTAGGATAATGAATTATAGGATAATGAGCAAAGGAAACATAAAATGCTTAATGGCCCTGGTACTCACGGCTGTAAAATTCTACTCTGAGTCATGTTTAATTGAAACATATGCTTTCCAACAGTTTTCACGTTGCTTTAAAAAGTTAACCTGACAATTTTTTACCTAAAGAAAAGATGGATCAACACATAACAATACATATGTAGAGAGCCTTTTAAATGTAAAATATTGCAGTAGATGAATATAAAGTAAATAGTCCAAGTTTGGGTTTTTTGAAGAATTTTTGTAATGATCTTGCATTAAAAGAACACTTTGTTGGTAATATCTCTGTGCAAACTCTATTTTCAGTATTCAAGTCATATTTATTTTACTCCTGTTAGTCTTCCATTCTCTCCAAAAGAAGCTGAAAAACAGATTAGGCCTCCATTGATAGGCAGCTGGTTTACACAACGGTGACATCCTTCTCAGAGTGTTCAAATGAATATGAATCAAGTTATACTGGTGATGAAAGAGGTAAGGAAAGATAGCTTTCTCCTTTCACAGGAGTAAATTCTGATAATGTAGGCCATCTAGTTGATTCAGCTTTGGCAGCAAGTTTGAAATTAAGATATTGCAATATGGAGTCAATTTTGACAAAATCAAAAGATTCAGCGTAGAAATAGAAATAGGAAAGAAACTCCATTAGATAATTACAACAACTTAAGCACCAAAGCTACTAATATCTTTAGTCTTATATGATAGTCCTGGAAAAGTTGGCTATAAATGGAAAGTAGCTGGAATCCTACTATAAGGGAAATAGGATCAAAAATCCTTTGATCTTTAAAGGATTCTTGCTTTAAAGGAATTATTTTGGAAACTGAAAGACCTAATTGTACACTGTAATTTAGGCCACTTTCCAGTAATTTATATAATAGCATTTCTTAGATATAATTGAAATAATTTTGATTATATGACAGCAAATATATATTAGGTGCTGACAAATCAAAATAACAAAATATAACAAAGATAAAAAAGTCTACAAACAATGTGCCTATATTATATTCATGCTATTAAGTATGAATCTTTCATTAAAAGGGGAGAAGTTCTTTCCTTTTTGTTTCTTCATTCAACTGAAGCAAAAATATTAATTTGATAGGTAGTTGCAGCTCCTTGGTAAGTTTTAAAATCTTCATTCCTTTGAAGTAATTAAGGATTTATAGTACAATTTTGTAATGATAGTTAATACATTTTTAAAACTTAATACAGTTTAAAATACTCTTTTAGAACCTGTTAGTTAAATGTTTCTTTTCATGTTTCATCTGATTATATGCAACAATTGTGATTTAAATCTGATTTGCACAACTAAAGTATTTGGTGGCCATATATAATGGGGAGCTATTAATTATTTTAAATCCATAAATACTATTTTAGAATGGTGAAGTAATGTCTCTTTGAAACACAAAGATAATTGAATCCAGTTATAATACATCAGTAAATGTGTAGAGCACGGACAACCTCTGAATAGTATCCCAGTATTTTGAGAATTACAAAAGAGGGGACTTACGTTAAAGATTCCTGTACCTAATTAATCACTCAGTTTAGTAGAGATATTAGTCTCAGACTAGATTAGGACCACTGATTATAATGAGAAAACAGATTGAGAAGATTCTAAAGAGACAAAATATTTTATAAGAAATGTAGAATTATTTCTAAATCCCAAAGTGCAATTAGTTTCAGGGCTATTTTTTCCAACATTTGTGCCATAAGTTTCCTTAACAACATTCCTGTCAACCGATCCAGCACCTGCTCACCTTCCTCCTTGAAAGGGAACTCACTATCCCTTAAGGCAGCCCAATTTTGAGGCAGTCAAGTGGTTCATTTTTCTCATTGATTTGACATCTACCCTTCTAAACTTCTCCCCAGTGAGACAGCACATCCAAGTAATTGAATAGGACTCATTTTCCAAACTCCTCCACCCGCCCTAACTTCTATCTATCCTGCCTCTGTTTGCACTAGCCTTGCCGTTCAAATTTTCATTCTCAAGTCTTGAAGTTTGAAAAAGGGAATATAAATTATCCTGGAAGATTCTTTTGGGGTCCAATGGAACAAATACTAATAAAAGAAAAGACACCTACTTACTTCTCCCTGGAGAAGTGTATCCACTAAATATACTTTTTGTGAATAAAAGAACCCATTGATAAGATTAACTTTCACTAGGCAGCATTGCAAATGCTTGCGTGCAGACATTCTGAGCAGAGGACTTGATATTAAATTCTGGTTTTGTAATTTGCTAGTTGTGTGACCTTGGGCAAGTGACTTAAGTTCCCTGAACTTAGTGTCCTTATCTGTGAATGGTAATACTTAATGATAGTACTCTTTTTCCTAGGGTTACTGTTATATGAGGTTTAAAGTATTTAATACAAAGCATTTAAAATGGTGTCAGGTATATAGTAAGCATCCAATAAGTGAATGATTAGTGTTATAGAACACATGGAGATGAGAAGAGAGAAGAATTGGGGGAGGAGAGAAGAGTGAGAAAGGAGAGATGGCATGGCAAGGAAAGCAGTGATAGTCTGCAGACCGTGAAGCTCACACTCTCACCTAGTTTCATTCCTGAAATTGCTCATCCAGAGAAGGTCTCAGCCAGGAGGACTATGGCAAGTGTGAAATGATCTAAAAAGTCCAGAGGCTTATACCTGATGCTGTGCATCAGGCTTATACCTAATGCCCTGCTGAATAACATCAGATAAGATTTGGTTGGCTTTTATTTTATTTAAAAAAATTTGTATGTTAATTTTTGTTTAGATAATATATTTACATAGTTCAAAACTCTAAAGATACAAGGAGATAGGGAAAAAGTTATCCACCCACTCTGTTCCCTATCCACTTAATTCCCCACTCATGTAGCTACCAATTTTATCAAGTTTTCGAATGAGAAGCAGTTATTAGGTGATAGGTAGAGAGAGAGTTCTTTAATCCCAACTCTCTGATTTTGGAACACAAGGACAGCAAAAAGGCAGTTTGGAGAAATGTTTTCCAAATATGTCTTTGTTACTTGTTTTTTCCATTTTTAACAGTGGGTAGCTATTCTCTATGAGTGCATTTTGGAAACTGGATAAATTTTTCAAGGATGCTGCTTTGTTAACTTGTCAAGATTTTATGCATTTCACACTGACTGTATACATTATTTATACCATAACAGAAAATCTTTTATAAAGAAAAACCAGATACATTATATTTCATGTAGGCTTTGATCTATGAATTTGTCTTAGGCTTGTGTTTCAAAAAAGAAAAAAACAGCCAGATGCAGTTTTATCTATCAAACCTAGCTTCCTTAACAAAGTCTGGGGAAATCAAATCATATCACATTGGGTTGATTTCACTTTTTTAGACAGTACATAGAAGGGTAAAAGGTCTCTGATTCTATCAAATATGCCCTGAAAAATAAATCTTGTGATTTGTTCATCTTCTCTCCATCTATCAAAATGAAACTAATAAACAGCCCCAGATGCAGCAGTAGAAAGATTAACAGTTTTTTTTTTCCACACCACCCCAGTAGAAACTAATATCTTCCAGAAAGGGGGCTGATTGTCAGTTTCCCCTCATGGCCAACTCCCCTGACTTGAGAAAGATAAAAGTGAAAGAGTGGAAGTACTAAACTCTTCTATTGGCAGGGCTTCACTGGTAAATATTGGATTTCACCTAAAAGTTAAATTGTGGACATATACTGAACTGGTGAATAGTGGCATGCACCATGAATTTTCTCTTCCTGTTATTTTGTGAATAAAAAAAAAGTACTTGTAAGCTTTAGCTTTACAAGCAAGTGATGACATAGCAATCACTGCACTGTACAACTCTGAAATCCTATTGCACAGGCACTGCGGGGTGGCAGGATTGGGGGTGGTGGTGAGGAAATGTTGGTTTTTGCTGTAATAATAATGCATTTAAAAGAAATTCTCAAAATCTCTGTTAACCAAAATAACAAACAGTCATTCTCAGTCTAGGGTATATCCAGGAATGGGAATATTTCATGATTTGGCACAGATTCTAATCTCTGGGAAGAGCTCCTTTATTTCTCAAACTTTATAGTCCCCAGCTTTGCATTCTTGGTAGTTTATTTGCTCTTATTCTTCCTGGCCACTTCAGAAGTTTTAGAAGTTGGCATTGGGTAATATGCACGCCTTGGGGGCTGTAGAACTTTTTGTCTACTTCCTGCTCAAGGAAGTTTTGAGAACCTAAGGGTTATTTTAAATATTCAACAGGTCATAGGATCTTTTTGTTGGTAGGGATGTCTAAGCTTTAACTTCTCTGGCACTACAAATCTCACAAGTTTTACTACATAATCTATTTTTATTCTAGTCGTTTCCAAATTCCAGAAATTACAACCACAGTTCTTTTTGAGACTATTTCACAGATTTGTTACATATTTTTGCTTTCTCTCTTTTAATAATAGATAGTGCCCTTCTGGAGGAAAGCTATGCCCTTAATTTTATCTTTTCCAAGAGCCTCTTTACCCACTGTCAGGTTTTACTGGGGGCTATATGCACAGTCTGATTATTTTTTAACTGTGGCTTATTTATGCATCAAGAGGTTTGTTTTAATGGATCTTTCTCAATTTTGTCTCTTTCTGTTTGGGCTTTCAAAGCAATTGGCCTTCCAGTATTGAAAAATCTTGATTGCTGGAATCTTTCTCTTTGGTCATTTTTTTTCGTCTTTTAAAAATTATTATTATAATTTAAGTTCTAGGATACACGTGCAGAACATGCAGGTTACAGAGGTAGACGCGTGCCATGGTGGTTTGGTGTACCCATCAACCTGTCATCTACATTAGGTATTTCTCGTAATGCTATCCCTCCCCTAGCCCCTCACCACCCCCCAACAGGCCCCAGTGTGTGATATTACCCTCTCTGTGTTCATGTGTTCTCATTGTTCAACTCCCACTTATAAGTGAGAACATGAAGTGTTTGGTTTTCTGTTCCTGTGTTAGTTTGCTGAGAATGATGGTTTCCAGCTTCATCCGTGTCCATGCAAATGACATGAACTCATCCCTTTTTATGGCTGCATAGTATTCCATGGTGTATATGTGCCACATTTTCTTTATCCAGTCTATCACTGATGGTCACTTGGGTTGGTTCCAAGTCTTTGCTATTGTGAACACTGCTGCAATAAACATACGTGGGCATGTGTCTTTATAGTAAAATGATTTATAATCCTTTGGGTATATACCCACTAATGGGATTGCTGGGTCAAATGGTATTTCTAGTTCTAGATCCTTGAGGAATTGCCACACTGTCTTCCACAATGGTTGAACTAATTTACACTCCCACCAACAGTGTAAAAGTGTTCCTATTTCTCCACATCCTCTCCAGCATCTGTTGTTTCCTGACTTTTTAACGATCACCATTCTAACTGGTGTGAGAAGGTATCTCATTGTGGTTTTCATTTGCATTTCTCTAATGACCAGTGATGATGAGTTTTTTTTTTTTCATATGTTTATTGGCTGCATAAATGTCTTCTTTTGACAAGTGTCCGTTCATATCCTTTACCCACTTTTTGATGGGGTTGTTTTTTTTTTTTTTTTTTTTCTTGTAAATTTGTTTAAGTTCCTTGTAGATTCTGGATATTCTCTTGCCTGATTGCCCTTTGTCAGATGGATAGACTTGCAAAAATTTTCTCCCATTCTGTAGGTTGCCTGTTCACTCTGATAGTAGTTTCTTTTGCTGTGCAGAAGCTCGTTAGTTTAATTAGATTGCATCTGTCGATTTTGGCTTTTGTTGCCATTGCTTTTAGTGTTTTAGTTATGAAGTCCTTGCCCATGCTTATGTCCTGAATGGTGTTGCCTAGGTTTTCTTCTAGGGTTTTTATGGTTTTCGATCTAACATTTAAGTCTTTAATCCATCTTGAATTAATTTTTGTATAAGGTGTAAGGAAGGGTCCAGTTTCAGTTTTCTGCATATGGCTAGCCAGTTTTCGTAACACCATTTATTCAATAGGGAATCCTTTCCCCATTGCTTGTTTTTGTCAGGTTTGTCAAAGATCAGATGGTTGTAGATGTGTGGCATTATTTCTGAGGCCTCTGTTCTGTTCCATTGGTCTATATATCTGTTTTGGTACCAGAACCGTGTTGTTTGGGTTACTGTAGCCTTGTAGTATACTTCTTTGAAGTAAGGTAGTGTGATGCCTCCAGCTTTGTTCTTTTTGCTTAGGATTGTCTTGGCTATACAGGCTGTTTTTTGGTTCCATATGAAATTTAAAGTAGTTTTTTTCTAATTCTGTGAAGAAAGTCAATGGCAGCTTGATGGGGATAGCATTGAATCTACAAATTATTTTGGGCACTATGGCCATTTTCACAATATTAATTCTTCCTATCCATGAGCATGGATTTTTTTCCCATTTGTTTGTGTCCTCTATGATTTCCTTGAGCAGTGGTTTCTAGTTCTCCTTGAAGAGGTTCTTCACATCTTGTAAGTTGTATTCCCAGGTATTTTATTCTCTTTGAAGCAATTGTGAATGGGAGTTCACTCATGATTTTGCTCTCTGTTTGTCTATTTTTGGTGTAAAGAATGTTTGTGATTTTTGCATATTGATTTTGTATCCTGAGACTTTGCTGAAGTTGCTTATCAGCTTAAGGAGATTTGGGGCTAAGATGATAGGGTTTTCTAAATATACAATCATGTCATCTGCAAACAGAGACAATTTGCCTCTCTTCCTATTTGAATACTCTTTATTTCTTTCTTTTGCCTGATTGCCCTGGCCAGAACTTCCAACACTATGTTGAACAGGAGTGGTGAGAGAGGGCATCCTTGTCCTGTGCTGGTTTTCAAAGGGAATGCTTCCAGCTTTTGCCCAGTCAGTATGATATTGGCTGTGGGTTTGTCATAAACAGCTCTTATTATTTTGAGATACGTTCCATCAATACCTAGCTTATTGAGAGTTTTTAGCATGAAGGGGTGTTGAATTTTACCAAAGGCCTTTTCTGCATCTATTGAGATAATCATGTAGTTTTTGTCACTGGTTCTGTTTCTGTGATGGATTACGTTTATTGATTTGTGTATCTTGAACCAGCCTTGCATCCCAGGAATGAAGCCAACTTGATCATTGTGGATAAGCTTTTTGATGTGCTGCTGGATTCGGTTTGACAGCATTTTATGGAGGATTTTTGCATCCATGTTCATCAGGCATATTGGCCTGAAATTTTCTTTTTTTGTTGTGTCTCTGCCATGTTTTGCTATTAGGATGATACTGGCCTCATAAAATGAGTTAGGGAGGAGTCCCTCTTTTTCTATTTTTTGGAATAGTTTTGGAAGGAATGGTACCAGTTCCTCTTTGTACCTCTAGTAGAATTCGGCTGTGAATCTCCTTAGTTGAGTTTTTTCTCTTTATTTTGCAGTATCTTGACAAATATAGACAGTAGCAATGTCTTTTTCCAATGTCTTCTTTAAGACCAGAGTCTCTCAACCACATTGACATCTGGGCAGGAACATTCTTTATTGTCAGGGGTTATCCCGGGCATTGTAGGAAATTTAGCAGCATCTCAAACCTCTATCCACTAGCACCCTCCCAATCGTGACAATCAAAAATATCTCCAGACATTACCAATGTCCCCTTTGTAGCAAAAATTGCACATTTGAGAATCACTGTTCTAGAGCCACAAGCACATTGGGTATGCTGTCTGTTTTATGAGTTATATACATTAGGCATCATTTTAATTTAATGTTTTGTCACTGGAGCCTCTGATATCTTTTTTCTTTTTCCTGCTGACACAGGACTGCCAAGCCAATGTGACATGTTTTAGGTGTTTGTAACAGAAGCAGTCAACTTGCATGAATAATTTCTATATTAAGCAAGGCAATTCATTGGCTTTACATCTAACAAATGTTCTTTCTACTCTCATTTTAAATGTATAATGGATTGGCAGGGTGGAGGGGAGATGTCTCTGATCTACAGTCACTCATGTACCCTGGCTGATGGAGGCTCCATGATGTTAAAATGGCATCATCTGGAACATGCAACCTTTCTCAGTGTAAGTAGCAAACATCTGGAGCTCTCTCCCACCTCTTTTACGTTTTTTCTTGTAGATAATACATGTCACTTCCACTCCCAGCCCATTGGCCACATAGAATGGTCTAACAGGAGTCTTATCTTCACGTCCAAAGGAGAAGAGATTAAGATATTACTAAGTACCCATAATATCTACCACAAATTGTTAGCGATGGAATTATATTTATTTCAATAGTTAACATAGAGTTAAATTGCCTTATTTATTGATGCATCTGGGGTGTAGAGTTTTATCACATGTATGGATTACCATACCTACCCCCACAATCAGAACACAGAACAGTTCCGTCACTCCCATATGGCCTCTTTGTAGTCTTAGCCTCCCCTAATCCCTGGCAAGTACTGATCTGTTTCCTGTTACTATGCTTTTGACCTTTTCAGCATTTATATGCTTTTTACATATAAGTGGAATCATATATTAGTAGTATGTAACATATGGAAACTGGCTTCTTTTAGAGAGCTTAACGTTTTGATTCATCCGTGATGTTGGGTGTATACATGGCATGTTCCTTTTTATTGCTGAGTAGTATTCCATTGCACAGATGTACCAGTTTGTTCATCCATTCATTGTTTGAAGGATATTTGGGTTATTTCCAACTTTGAACCAGTATGAATAGAGCTGTTATAATCATTCATACATGGGTATTTTATATGGCATAACTTTTCCATTTCTCTAGGATGTAAACACCTAAGAGTAGAATCATTGGGTCACATGGTAAGAGTACATTTTACTTTGTAAGATACAGCCAAAACTGTTTCCCGAAGTGGCTGCACCATTTTATATCATGACCATGTATTAGTCAGCTCAGGCTCCCATAACACAGTATACCACAGACTGGTGTCTTAAATAGCAGAAGTTTATTTTTTTTCACAGTTCTGAAGTCTGGGAGTCCAAGTTCAAGGTTCTGCCCAATTTGGATTCTGACGAGGGCTCTCTTCCTGGCTTGCAGACAGCTACCTTCTAGGTGTATCCTCACAAGTGGAGAAAGAAAGAGAGAGCTGCCTGGTGTCTCTTCTTAAGAGATAATAGTCCCGTTGGATCAGGCAACACCCTTATGAATTCATTCAACCTTAATTTCTTCCTTGGAGGCCCCAACCATCTCCAAATACAGCCATATTGGCATTAGGGCTTCATCATATGAATTTGGATTGGGTAATACAAACATTCAGTTCATAACCAGCAATGTGAGAAGTTCCAAATGCACTTCATCCTCCCCAGCACATGTTATTGTGAGATTTTTAAAAATTTGGTCATTCTACTCTGATCTCAGTTATTTCTTGCCTTCTGCTAGCTTTTGAATGTGTTTGCTCTTGCTTCTCTAGTTCTTTTAATTGTGATGTTAGGGTGTCAATTTTAGATCTTTCCTGCTTTCTCTTGTGGGCATTTAGTGCTATAAATTTCCCTCTACACACTGCTTTAAATCCTGGTTTTTTGAAAAGATCAACAAAATTGATAGACTGCTAGCAAGACTAATAAAGAAGAAAAGAGAGAATAAAATAGATGCAATAAAAAATGACAAAGGGGATATCACCGCTGATCCCACAGAATTACAAACTACCATCAGAGAATACTATAAACACCTCTATGCAAATAAACTAGAAAATCTAGAAGAAATGGATAAATTCCTGGACGCATACACCCTCTCAAGACTAAACCAGGAAGAAGTTGAATCCCTGAATAGACCAATAACAGGTTCTGAAATTGAGGCAATAATTAATAGCCTACCAACCAAAAAAAGTCCAGGACCAGATGGATTCACAGCCAAATTCTACTAGAGGTACAAGGAGGAGCTGGTATCATTCCTTCTGAAACTATTCCAATCAATAGAAAAAGAGGGACTCCTCCCTAACTCATTTTATGAGGCCAGCATCATCCTGATACCAAAGCCTGGCAGAGACACAACAAAAAAAGAGAATTTTAGACAATATCCCTGATGAAGATCAATGCAAAAATCCTCAATAAAATACTGGCAAACCGAATCCAGCAGCACATCAAAAAGCTTATCCACCATGATCAAGTGGGCTTCATCCCTGGGATGCAAGGCTGGTTCAATATACACAAATCAATAAATGTAATGCAGCATATAAAGAGAACCAATGAAAAAAAACCACATGCTTATCTCAATAGATGCAGAAAAGGCCTTTGACAAAATTCAGAAGCCCTTCATGCTAAAAACTCTCAATAAATTAGGTATTGATGGGACATATCTAAAAATAATAGGAGCTATTTATGAGAAACCCGCAGCCAATATCATAGTGAATGGGCAAAAACTGGAAGCATTCCCTTTGAAAACTGGCACAAGACAGGGATGCCCTCTCTCATCACTCCTATTCAACATAGTATTGGAAGTTCTGGCCAGGACACTCAGGCAGGAGAAATAAATAAAGGGTATTCAATTAGGAAAAGGGGAAGTCAAATTGTCCCTCTTTGCAGATGACATGACTGTATATTTAGAAAACCCCATTGTCTCAGCCCCAAATCTCCTTAAGCTGATAAGCAACTTCAGCAAAGTCTCAGGATACAAAATCAATGTGCAAAAATCAAAAGCATTCTTATACACCAATAACAGACAAACAGAGAGCCAAATCAGGAGTGAACTCCCATTCACAATTGCTTCAAAGAGAATAAAATACCTAGGAATCCAACTTACAAGGGATGTGAAGAACCTCTTCAAGGAGAACTACAAACCACTGCTCAAGGAAATAAAAGAGGACACAAACAAATGGAAGAACATTCCATGCTCATGGATAGGAAGAATCAATATCATGAAAATGGCCATACTGCCCAAGGTAATTTATAGATTCAATGCCACCCTCATGGAGCTACCAGTGACTTTCTTCACAGACTTGGAAAAAACTACTTTGAAGTCCATATGGAATGAGAAAAGGGTCCACATTGCCAAGACAATCCTAAACCAAAAGAACAAAGCTGGGCTGGGCGCGGTGGCTCACACCTGTAATCCCAGAACTTTGGGAGGCCGAGGTGGGCGGGTCACGAGGTCAGGAGATCGAGACCATCCTGGCTAACATGGTGAAACCCTGTCTCTACTAAAAATACAAAAAATTAGCCGGGTGAGGTGGCGGGCACCTCTAGTCCCAGCTACTCAAAAGGCTGAGGCAGGAGAATGGCATGAACCCTGGGGGGCGGAGCCTGCAGTGAGCCGAGATCGCGCCACTGCACTCCAACTTGGGCGACAGCGAGACTCCGTCTCAAAAAAAAAAAAAAAAAAAAAAAAAAAGAACAAAGCTGGAGGAATCATGCTACCTGACTTCAAACTATACTACAAGGCTATAGTAAAACAAAACAGCATGGTACTGGTACCAGAACAGAGATATAGACCAATGGAACAGAACAGAGGCCTCAGAAATAATACCACAGATCTACAACCATCTGATCTTTGACAAACCTCACAAAAAAAAGAAATGGGGAAAGGATTCCCTATTTAATAAATGGTGCTGGAAAAACTGGCTAGCCATATGTAGAAAGCTGAAACTGGATCCCTTCCTTACACCTTATACAAAAATTAATTCAAGATGGATTAAAGACTTAAATGTTAGACCTAAAACCATAAAAACCCTGGAAGAAAACCTAGGCATTACCATTCAGGACATAGGCATGGGCAAGGACTTCATGTCTAAAACACCAAAAGCAATGGCAACAAAAGCCAAAATTGACAAATGGGATCTAATTAAACTAAAGAGCTTCTGCACAGCAAAAGAAACTACCATCAGAGTGAACAGGCAACCTACAGAATGGGAGAAAATTTTTGCAATCTACTCATCTGACAAAGGGCTGATATCCAGAATCTACAAAGAACTCAAACAAATTTACAAGAAAAAAACAAATAACCCCATCAAAAAGTGGGCAAAAGATACGAACAGGCACTTCTCAAAGGAAGACATTTATGCAGCCAACAGACACATGAAAAAATGCTCATCATCACTGGCCATCAGAGAAATGCAAATCAAAACCACAATGACATACCATCTCACACCAGTTAGAATGGTGATCATTAAAAAGTCAGGAAACAACAGGTGCTGGAGAGGATGTGGAGAAATAGGAACACTTTTACACTGTTGGTGGGAGTGTAAACTAGTTCAACCATTGTGGAAGACAGTGTGGTGATTCCTCAGGGATCTAGAACTAGAAATACCATTTGACCCAGCCATCCCATTACTGAGTATATACACAAAGGATTATAAATCATGCTGCTATAAAGACACATGCACATGTATGTTTATTGTGGCACTATTCACAATAGCAAAGACTTGGAACCAACCCAAATGTCCATCAATGATAGACTGGATTAAGAAAATGTGGCACATATACACCATGGAATACTATGCAGCCATAAAAAGGATGAGTTCATGTCCTTTGTAGGGATACGGATGAAGCTGGAAACCATCATTCTCAGCAAACTATCGCAAGGACAAAAAACCAAACACCACATATTCTCACTCATAGGTGGGAACTGAACAATGAAAACACTTGGACACAGGAAGGCGAATATCACACACCAGGGCCTGCTATGGGGTTGGGGGAGGGGGGAGGGATAGCTTTAGGAGATATACCTAATATAAATGAGGAGTTAATTGTGCAGCACACCGACATGGCACATGTATACATATGCAACAAACCTGCACGTTGTGCACATGTACCCTAGAACTTGAAGTATAATAATAAAAAAAAAGAAAATATAATTGGATAGGGAAAGAAGAGGGGCTTCTAAGGTTCTGGAACATCCTAATTTTAACCTGGGTCAGGGGGTGGTGACAGGGTAGTGTATTTTCTTATTTTTCCTTGAACGGTATACAAATGCTTTTTACACTCTTTTGTATGTATAATATATCTCACAAAAAGAAAAAAATTCAATGCAAGACAGAAAAATATTTGGTCATTCTAATAGATCTGTAGTGGTATTCAAAATAGTTTTAATTTGTATTTTTCTAATGGCTAAGGATGTTCAACATCTTTTCATCTACTTATTGCCATCACAATACCTTCTTTGATAAAGTACTTTTTCAAGTCTTTTACTCTTTTTTTTTTTTTTTTTTACAACTTGAGTTGTTGATTTCTTATTATTGAGCTTGGAGAGTATAAAAAATATATTCTAGATACAAGCCTATTCCCAGGTCATAAAATTTTTTCTCGTGTGTTTTATATTAGATTTATGTTTTTAAGTTTTACATTTAAATCTGTGACATATTTTATGTTAATCCTTTTATGAGTGTTTAGTTTAGGTATCAAGGTTCTTTTTTTGAGGGGGATATGGATTGTTATAGACTGAATATTTGATCCCTCAATGTGATGGTATTTGAAGGTGGGGCCTTTGAGAGGTGATTAGGTTTAGGTGAGATAATGAGTATGGGGCCCCCTCACGATGCGAGTAGTGTTTTGTTTGAGATGGGGTCTCCCTCTGTCACCTAGGCTGGAGTGTAGTGGAGCGATTTCAGCTCACTGCAACGTCCACCTCCTGGATTCAAGTGATTCTCATGGCTCAGCCTTCCTAGTAGCTGGGATTACAGGCATGCACCTCTGGCTAATTTTTGTAGTTTTAGTACAGATTAGGTTTCACCATGTTGGCCAGGCTTGTCTTGAATTCCTGACCTGAGGTGATCTGCCTGCCTTGGCCTCCCAAAGTGCTGGGATTACAGGTGTGAACCACCATGCCTGGCTGAGTGTTCTTACAAAAAGAGGAAGAGAGACCAGAGCTTGCTCCCTCTTCTCACCATGTGAAGACATAGCAAGAAGGCAGCCTTCTGCAAGCCAAGAAGAGGGCTCTCTCTAGGAATCAAATCTTCTAGCACACTTTGATGTTGGACTTCCCAGCCTCCAGAATTGAGAGAAACAAATGTCTTCTGTTGAAAACACCTGGTCTGTAGAATGTTCTCAGTAGACGGAACTGACTAAGACATGAATATACACTTCTTCCATCACTTTTGAAAAGAGTATTTTTTCTCCATTGAATTGGCGTGGACCTTTGACAAAAAGTGTGGGTCTATTTCTAGATAATTTGTTCTGCTTGAATGATTTATGTGCTTATACTTTAGCCAGTTCCACACTGCCTTGATTACTGAAGCTTTATAGAAAGTCTTAAAATCAGACGGTGTGAGTACTCCAAATACATTCTTTCAAAACTGTTTGGCTTTCCCTTTGCCTTTCAGTGTAAGATTTAAAATAAGTTTCTCTACGTAAAAAACTAAACTCTTGCTGATATTTTGACTTTCCAAAATTAATGCAAAATTGCATTAAATCTGTAGATCAGTTTGGAAAGAATTGACATCTTAACTATATTGAATCTTCCATTGAGTCCTCCTGTTTATGGAGTCTTCCATTCCATAAAGAGGGTGTGTCTCTTCATTTACTTCAGTCTTCTTTGATTTATTTTATCAGTGTTTTGAAGTCATCTGCATATAAATCTTGCCATGTTTTGTTAGATTTATACTTCAATATTTCCAAAAACACCTTAGAGTATTGTAAATGTTACGTATTTTTCAAACTTGATTTGTGTTGACTTTATTTTTTTTTATTTTTGATCCATTCCTAAATAACAGGTTATGTTGACTTTATATTTTCAAAACTTATTAAACTCACTTATTGGTTCTGGAAATTTCTTAATAGACCTCCCCTTAAGGTTTTCTTAGGATTTTCTCCATAGACTATTATCTCATCTAAAAATAGGGACATTTAAATTTTTTCCATTAAAGTCTATATGTCTTTTTTTTCTTACCTTATTGCACTTGCTTGATCTTTAACTACTATGTTGATAGCAGTTACATTGGTTTCCTACTGCTGCTGTAACAAATTGTCACAATCTTAGTGGCTTAAAACAACATTATTTAGTATCTTACAGTTTTGGAGGTCAGACAACGGAAACCGGTCTAATGTAGCTAAAATCAAGATATTGGCAGGGCTGCCTTCCTTTCTGGAGGCTGTAGGAGTGAGTCACTTTTCTGCCCACAATCCTTGGTTCATAGACCCCTTTCATCTTTGAAGCTAACAGTGTAGCATCTTCAGATTTTTCTCTAACTGACTTATTTGCTTCCTTCTCCCACTTAAAAGGAGCCTCATGATTATATTGAGCCTGCTGGGATAACACATGATAATCTTCCTATCCCATAATTAGCTGATTAGCAATATTAATTCCATCTGCAACCTTAATTTTCCTTTGTCATATAACCTAACATAAGCATAATTTGGGGGGATTGGGGCCATGAACATCTTGGGGGGACCTTTATTTTGCATATCACAGTAGTATTGAGAACGCACATGCTTTCTTTGTTATTTCTGATTTTAGGGGAAAAACATTCAGCCTTTCACCAAATGTGTGATGTTAGCTGTGGGTTTTTCTGAATGCTCTTTATCAGGTCAAGATTCCCTTGTACTCTTAGTTTACTGAAAGTTTTTAATCAAGAATGGGGGTTAGATTTTGTCAAATGATTTTCCTGCATCAATTGACATATTGTTTTTTTTCTTTTTGTCTGTTAGTTTGTTGTATTATATTAATTGATTTCAGACATTCAATCAGCCTTATATTCCTGGAATAACTCCCCTTCTCATTATGTATTGTTTATATATATTTCTGAATTTAATTCTTTTCTTTCAATTCAAGATTTTCTTTCATCTGCTCACATCAAATATTTTTGCTTTCTTTTCTGATTTTTCAAAGCAAAACTTCAATTACTTATTTGTGATATTTCTCCTTTTTATTATAAGCATACAGTCCTATAAGTTTCCCTTGCAGTGCTCATTTAGTTGTGTCTCACATGTTGTGACATGTTGTGTTTTCAATTTTGTTAATTTTAAAATATTTTCTTATTTTTCTTGAGACTTCCTTTTTGACCCATGGATTATTGATAAATGTGCTGTTTAATTCCCAAGTGTTTGGAGATTTAACAGCTATATTTCTATTAATAATTTTTAGTTTAATCTCATTATGTTCAGACTATATTTATATGATATAAATTATTTAAAAATTGTTCAGGTTTGTTTCATGACTTTGCTATGGTCTATCTTGGTGAATGTATCATAGGCACTGGAAAATAATATGTATATTTAGTGTTGGATAAAGTGTTCTATAAATGTCAATTAGATACAGTTGGTTGATAGTGTTGTTCCATTTTTGTATGTTCTTGCTGATTTTCTCTTTATTTGCTTTGTCTATTATGGAGAGAGAAATGTCGACTTATAATTGTGAATCAGTCTATTCTGCTTTCTTTTCGAAGAGTTTTTTTCCCATGTGTTTTGAGGCTCTGTTTTAGATGCAGACATGTTTAGGATTTATTTATTTTTGTCTTCCAGTTGAATTAACTCTTTTGTCATTATGCAATATTTCTCTTTATCACTAGAAATTTTCCTTGTTTGCACATCTACTTTGTTTGACATTAATGTAGCTACTCTAGCTTTCTTTTGATTAGTGTTAGCATGGTATATCCTTTTTCATCCTTTTACTTTTAACCTATTTGTATCCTTATATTTCAGGTGAGTTTCTTATAGGCAGTAAATTCTGTCATGATTTTTAAGCTAATGATCTATTATTTTTATTGGGAGTTTAGTTCATCTACAGTTAATGCGATTACTAATGTAAGATTCCGATTTGTCAGTTTGCTTTATTTATTTATTTATTTATTTGGGACAGAGTCTTGCTCTGTCACCAAGCTGGAGTGCAGTGGCATGATCATGGCTCATTGCAGCCTATGTCCCAGACTCAAGTGATTCTCACACCTCAACCTTCCACGTAGCTGGGACTACAGGCACATATCACCATGCTAGGCTACTTTTATTTTTATTTTTTGTAGAGATGAGGTCTCCCTATGTTGCCCAGGCTGGTCTTGAATTCCTGGGCTCAAGCAATCCTCCCACCTCTGCCTCCCAACCAGTTTGCTATTTGTTTTCTAATTGCCCCATATATTCTTTGTTTACTTTTTCCCATTTTTTTGCCTTTTTATTACTAATCAGTACTCTTTTATATCTCTATCTCTTTTGTTGGATTACTTGCTATAACTCTGTTTTCTTATTGTAGGGGTTGCTTTCTGTGTTCTGTGGTTTCAATATGAGGTCAGTTTCCAGGCTTTGCACTGCTATTTGACATGTGTGCCTCCATTTCTGGGCCCTTGGATGCATTCTAGCCCATATTTCTACTCTTAAAGCCTTTGCCATTTTATGTAGGGTCTAATCTATGCAGAGATGAGTCCAGAAACGTATACACCACTTTATGGGATACCTCTTTTGAGATCCCTCCTCACCGGGATCTCCTTGACACTTTATGGTCCCCTGGGATCCCCATTTTACCTCTTATGGCCAAAAGTATGAAGCTTTAGTTTCTCCACCCTATCATTTACTTCATGCAACTATATCTGCAGATCTGGGGTCAGGTGTTGAGAGGACAGAGAGAGAAAAAACCAGCAGACATTCTCCCCCTGATCTGGGAACCACAGGTGCTCTGGTGGGAAAGGATTCTCCTCTCTCAGAGTTTTCCACACATACCTAGCCTCTGTGGCTGCCCTGCTGCAACTTGATTTTCTGGGTACTGAGACACAAGAGAATAAAAGAAAAGAAAACAAGGGATTTTCTTCACGCTCGCTCACTCCTTTCTTGCTCCTCAGATCAGAACATGAGGATACCGCCTAAAGCTTTTTCTGTCCACACCTGGCTGGCTTTGATTTCAACCAAGGTGATAACAGGCGGGGAATGGGGAATGAAAACTCATTGCTGATTTGAAGGTACTTTGAATTCTGAACTCCTTTTCCAATTTGCCTGCTACCATCTACTTTTCAGAGTCCTCAGATAGCAGCTCCAAGAATTCTGTCATGTTTATATTTGCATTCAGTGAGAGAAGCAGGATAGAGTTTTACTCAAGCTTGCCTGAAACCAGAATTGCACTAAAGTATTTTGAATAATGGACGTTTAAGCATAGCATCTAGAGTGGAGCATGGGAAAGAAAAGTCAGGGGAAAGGATTTGGACCCTTTTTTGGTTGAATCCCTGATGAGAAAGACTAAGCACATTCCTACACATCAGCAAAGCAAAAAGAATTATTTTTTCAAAAGAATTTGGTATTTAACATTGCCCTTTAAAAAGCATCAAAGTAGTCAGTATAAAGAAAAAATACCATCAGATGTCATACATTTATTTTGCAGGTTACTGCATTTTTATTTTGATTTAAATATGGGGTATTGCTATACTCTGTGTTTAGAGTTTCTAAAGCCAGATGACTAGTGATATTGGCAGACATTCCCAGCTAACCCCGTCTCTAACTGTAGCCTCAAGATCACCATAGAGCTCTTAAAACCTGAATTCTGAAAAATAATTTTTAAGTTTGGATCAAACATAAGTTTATCCTCTCTTCTCCTATCTCTTTTTTGCCACTTACACTCATAACATATGGCTAAAAAGTTTTCACATAACAATGTACTTGGTACTTCAGGAACTAAAGAATTATTTTTAAAAAGGTCAAAAGCTATCATTAAATAATCAGGTACAATGTGAGAGGCACATTCATCATCTCCTCTACTCTCCACTCCGAGGTAGGTGTTTTGCAGCAGGTTCACTGCATACTGGTTACCAACTTATCTGAGTTTTGTGAGACAGAACACACTCACACACAAGTTATCAGAAGTGAATTTATTATTTACAGATAGTCAGCAGGGACAAAAGAAGCCTAGGATCCATTGTGAGCTAGGCCCCCAAGGCTCAAGGAAGCTGTCTGGGGAAGATGAAGTCTTGGCTGTACTTGCTCCAGTTACACCACAGCTGAGGGACCCCATAGGCCAGCTCACCTTGCGTTCTACTCAGGAGCAATGTGACTCACTGGGGAAAGCTTTGATGGATATCCCACTTCCACAGGAGACAGGAGCAAAGCTTGGGCCATCCAGGGCAGTTTCTCCCTAACTCAAGATGATACATTCCCTAGGAGAGACAGGGACAGAAATAAGGCCTGGGCTGTTTCAGGCAGTTCTTCCCTATCTCAGGTTATTGCATTCCCAGAAATCTCTACTGTTACTCTTGAGAAATATAAGGAAGAACAGGGAGAGAACTGGGTCATTCTAAAGCTGCTGGAGAACTGTCCTGTAGGTTTATCAGTTCAGTATTCCTGTCATTATTGTACAGGTGAGGAAACTGAGACTCACATTCAGTTACTTGTCCAAGGATCTCAGGACTAACTCCATAATTGATATTCTCTCAGGATGTCACACATTTCTGTCCATCTGTGTCCTCCATCTTTGAGAAGATGAAATCAGACAACTTAGCGATGGAGATAGTTAAAGAGATTAGGAACTCATGGGAGTGGAATGCAGTAGAAAGAACTTTTTCACGTAAGAGACTGCAATTCTTCACATCTCTGTCTGTTCTGTTTTCCCCTTGAATGCTTCAGCTAGAATGAAAGAAATCTATTTTCTAATTACAAAAAATATCTTTATTGAGACTACGGTATTGGGGCAGGGATTCTATACCTCCATCTCTCAGACCCATTGACAATTCATTTTTAATTTCTCTCTTCGTGTTCTGGGACTTCTTCAAATCTACACACAAATTTTACTTCTGTTGCTTTTTCTCTACTTTCTAGGCCAAAAATGAAAAATAAAGAATGAGGATTTCAGCTCATGGTTAAGAACATATGTGTGATTTTTCATACCTGGCCATAGGCAATTCCAAAGCTGTACCTGGCAGGCCATTCAGGAGGAAGCTGCCTCCTCACACTATGGTGCAAAGCCAGTGCATTACTTTCTGAGAGGAGTTGCAGTAAGGACTCGCGTCCCTCTGGCAGGTCATGCTGTTTCACATATTTACAGTCCTAGCCCAGGTGCTTTCATTCCTAGGTCTCTTTATTTGAGGCCTACAGTAGAGGTCTTCAGTTGCCTCTACCAAGGACCCCTTACAGGAGGCAGAAGCGAAAACCTTGAAGACACTTTCCCCAACTCTGACTCAGGACTCAGTACGTTTCCACTCATAACCCTCAGCCCTTGCCCTCTCTCCCAACTGCAGAGTCTATAAAACTGCCTAAGTCTTTTGTTAGGGGCTCCCTTAACAGTGAGATGACCCCCACGTCTATGCAGATCCACCTGACCCTCAATTTGTGCATTGTCTCATGGGTGAAAATGGAACAGGGAGAGTTGGTACTTCCTGTGGTTTTAGACTGTTGCTTATACCATCACAGTAAGTGATCAAAGCTTTGGCTTTTTCACTTTTTTGACTTGTTGCCTTAATTGGCTACTCAGACACCTGACAGCTCAGCTAGCTCACTCTCTCCCAGCTTGGCTGAGCTCCTGACAAAGGAAGCCCACTGGAAGATGAAATGGATCTGGAAGCTGTGGACCTACTGAATTTTCTTGAAGCAAACTTTGCAGACCAGCTTTCAGAGGAAGAAGAAAAACAACTGATCCCAGCAAGTAATAGCTTCACTTTTTTATTTCTCACACTACACTGAATTTCTCTTAAGTTCCAGCTTTCATTGTTGCCATCTTTGGCAAGCTTCCCATGACAGAAAATGGTTTTATAGTGATGTCTGCTATATGCCCACAACATTGTAAAACAGTTGAGCTTATTTCATAAAATTATACAAATTACATGAATATTAATATAATAAGAACACCACATACAACACATGTTCATATGTTTGATTAACCACTGATTGACTGAATAAATGAATGAATGGCCAGACAATCATATAAGGACTGCAGTATTGAATCCCGGAATAAGAAAAGAGAGGAGCAGTAAGCAGATGGCACCTGGGGATTGTGGAATCTATAGGGGAAGGATGGAAGGAACAGAACAGCAGGTAGTAGGTGGGGAGGAAAAAACATAGGAAGTAAAAAAGGCAATACTATACCTTTTGTTCTTACCTCAAAAGCTGAAAGATCAATTTTCTGTCTCCTGATTGATGTTTCCAAAAGCTTAATATGCTGCTGTAGAACAAGACCAGGAAATTGGAGAATGTCCCTGGCACCACCCTGCTGAGTTCTACCAAGTCTGGTTTGAATGAAATGAAAAGTCAAAGTACAGATATGTTCCATTTTCATTGGAAGCGAAAAGGTTTTTTTCCTTCAGTTGTTTCTTTTTCCCTCCAGAAAAATCTTATCCTTTAAAAAAAAAAAGCTAATACTATACCGGGGTCCACATTAGTCCTCTCCTTTCAGTAAATATAATTTTGACCAATATTATCCTGGATATTTCATTGTCTTGTCAACAAAAACATGGTAATTGGTATTAATGTCCGAAAATCAAAGCCTTTCGGAAATGATAGGCTTGATTTAGTACCACTGGCATGGCTCTCATTAAATCAGCAAAGTCTGTGTAGTACAAATGTGCAGATTCCTTTATTCATCACTGTAAGAACCTCAGGGAGCCTCACTGAAAATGCACATGACAGATCAGGTGGGTACGGCTGCAGCCCAAATAAAGACAAAATAGAAAATGCGAGCAACATCATATAAAATTTACCTCACAGAAGTCAGCAAGTAATCATTACTTAAGTAAATTATGCTTTTTACATAATCGGAAATGTTCTGTATTTAAGAGTCTTGGAGGGACAAATACACATTGCACTAAATATTTGAGGATTCTGAGTTATAGCTGAAAGGAATTTCTCTTCATTCTTAGCTGTGAACGTAGGTTCCTTTGATTCTTTTAGGCAAGGATACTCAAATCCTCTCACTTATGAAACTTTGAGGTAGACTTCTGCCTCAATGACTGTATCTGTTTCCATCTCTTCCCACTGTGCTCGTTCCTGACACACTGTCACACTTGCATCCACATGCCTGCACACAGACACACATAGACTGACACACAGAAAGAGGATATACTCTACAAAAATCTCTACAGAGAGGAAATCGTAATGAGTAGACGGAGATGAGGAGTAGGAAACAAGACGGAAAGCAGGAAGAAAAGAAAAACAAGACATGATGGGGGAAGAGGCAAAGACTGTATGGGAAAAAGAGAATGATGTACGTAGGAGAGAGGGCAGAGCAGAATCTAGAGATGGAGTTCAGGGGAACATGGACATAGGGCCCCAAGGGTGCCTTATATTGCTACAACATAAGGAGTGCATTTTAAATCTCATCCAAAGTAATGTAATTACTGAAGAAGCAAAGGCATTTTAATCTATAAAACCATCTTACAGATTAATGACTGAGAAAAGTGAGTAAGGCATCAGTTTGGCCCTTAGAGGTACAACAGGATTCCAGGCAGGAGAAGCAAATCTACATGATAATATTGACAAGTAAGGAAGAGCTATCCTCAGGCATAAGAATCCCATTAGCCTGGAGATCCAGTGGATCTCTTAGGATCAATGATTCTGAGGAGTTTGAAAGATTTGGTGGTATGGTATACAGGAAGAATTAAGACTGAAGGGGGCTATTTAAACAAATAAACAAACAAACAAAAAACAAACAAACAAAAAAAAACAGAGCAAAGCTAGCTTGCTTGGGAGTCACCCAAGTAAATTAAAATACTCTTGTTAAGAATGTGTAGCACATCTGCCTTCCCATAAAAATGGCATGGATGGTGAAGGTGCTTTTGACTTCACAGTGAAGGTAAAGACAAATCTCTTCTGTCCATGGCAGGCCAGGTGCAGGTGCAGCAGTTTAAGACCGCAAGTGCTAAGGTGGAGGGAGTTCAGCTCCTGTGACTAAAGCAAGAACATTTGGTTTGTTTTGATAACTTTCCTGATGGGTATACAAACCTGAGGCAATTTTCCCTTTTATTGTCATTATGGCCAGTCCCTCTTGATTGACCTCTTGTGCTTCGAAGCAGCCCAGGTATGCCTGGACCGGGCAATAGTTGCAACAGCAAAACAGGAGTCAAATCAACGCATGTAACAGAGGAAGCTTGGGTCATGCTCAGAGTAAAGTGCTTCAAATTTAAAATAAATCAACACAAAAGGGAAAGTCATCACTGTTTTAGAGACTATAAATAATGCAGCAGTCTTCCAGAAAGAAGCAGTTTTTTACTTAAGATCATGTTTGTTAGTTGAGCTTCAGGGAACAACATCACACCCAAAAAGCTGGTAATCTTATTGTTTAAATTTTCCCTGAAGTGTACATGTCACTGCATCCTGGAGGAGACAGAACAGTTGATTTTGGTCCAGAACTTAATGCTTTATAGTTTTTCACCTGTGTGATGTGAATATGTCCACTTTTATTTATGTGACCAGAACATTTATAAATGCCTCATTTAGTTGTTTGGGTAAATTATATTCTTGCTTCTCATAAATTGCTCCTCATAACATTTGGTTGGCAAAGCTTTCAGCAAGCAGGTTCTCAAATATTGGAAATTCACCCTTGCTGGGCGCAGACCTGTTAAGATTATGAGTGATAAAGGAATAAAGTACACTGAAAAGTAGCTTAGATGAAGCCACAGGACATTGGTTGAGCACGAGTGCCCCAGGATGCATTTGAAGAATTCACTGAATCATAACGCGAAGCAATGTAACATCACAGCAGAGAGCGGAGGAACAACTGTAGCCTACAGAATGTGCTAGTGTGTGGTAGTCAAGGACAGGTGACCTAGTTTGAGCAAAATTGCTGTCTACAGCACAAGAGTACCATTCTTCAAATAGCAACAAGACCCATAGCACAGTCACAAGCAGCAGATGTTAGGGAAATGCTTTAAGTCTTATCAATGTGACATAGCTTTGAAGACAGATATTATATATTTACCTATTTCTGTATCCAAGTAGAAAAATCACTCATACATTTTGTCTATTTTTGAAAGAAATGAGTCGTAGGTATAGAGAAGGACATACACAAATATTATGAACTCAGAATAACATTATTCGATAGAAAGCAGAATTAGAATTGAGAAAATGAGACGTATCCATGCCAAATGAAATGGATTAAATAAACCAGGTGTTAAATTATGAGTTTGCCTTACAATTTGTGCCATGAGTTCTAAGGAAAGTTGATATTTAGAAATTTTGGTAGATTGTTGGCCTGGCGTGGCGGCTCACGTCTGTAATCCCAGCACTTTGGGAGGCCTAGGCGGTGGATCACCTGAGGTCAGGAGTTTGAGACCACCCTGACCAATATGGTGAAACCCCGACTCTACTAAAAATACAAAAATTAGCTGGGCATGGTGGCGGATGCCTGTAATCCCAGCTACTTGGGAGGCTGAGGCAGGACAATCACTTGAACCTGGGAGGCAGAGGTTGCAGTAAGCTGATTGCGCCATTGCACTCCAGCTTGGGGTGACAAGAGTGAAACTCCATCTCAAAAAAAAAAAAAAAGAAAGAAAGAAAGAAATTTTGGTAGATTGTAAAAATATCTACCAGTTATTTTATACCCTCTATCCATGTCTTTGTTTAGCATCTTCCCACACTGACTCATGACCCTTGTGATCTGCCTCGTGATTTGCTCTGGCTAATGAGATATTAGCAAACGAGAAGTGAGCAGAGTCTTGGAAAGTGTTTCTGTATTGAGGCTTGCTCTTTTGCTCCCATTTTGAACCTTAAGACATT
The DNA here is from genome assembly GCF_000001405.40 of Homo sapiens. NCBI lineage: Eukaryota > Metazoa > Chordata > Mammalia > Primates > Hominidae > Homo > Homo sapiens. The sequence goes on from NC_000013.11 coordinate 74,507,861, forward strand.
CATGTGAAGAAGCTTATACTATCCTGCCACAACATGAGACATTATATGCAGCAGAAAGAAGCCATCCAAGTTGAGGACCCCCTAGACCAATAAGGTGCCAACTGCCAAACACATGAGTGAGGCTATTTTGAACAAACTAGCTCCAGCTGAGCTGGCCCTGAGCAATTGCCAGGCCAATCCACATAATCATTTAAAAAAAAAATTTTGGCATGAGGTGATGGATATACTAACTACCCTGTTTTGATTTTTAGACAGTATATACATGTATTGAAACATCAAATTGTACTCCCATAAACAGGTATAATTATAATGCGTCAATTTTAAAAAGTTTAAGAAATGAAGTTTGGAGATGTTTTGTTATGTAACAACTTACCATTACACTCTTAATGTAATAATAACAACAATAACAAAGTCTACTAATGTTTGAGGATCTATCAAGTGATATGTTAGGCACTATAATAGGTGATTTGTATATATTACTCCTAACCTTTAAATAAAGTATATGTTCTTAACACCGTTGTGATTTGTATATATTACTTCTAGCCTTTGAATAAGGTGGGTGCCCGTAACACCATTTTACAAATGACATACGTTGCAAAGTAAAAATCTAGTCATGCAAATAGTAAATAACAATGCCAAGATTCATCTACAGTTCTGACAGTCTATCAGTTTCACGCTCCTTCCATTGGACGAGGATGTTGATGGAGGCTCTCCCTCGATAGGGAAATGAGGCATGGACATAGATTGGCTTCTCAGATTTGTTCAAATTGGTATAACACAACTGTAAACTTCTCACTAATTTCTTTATTTGCCTAGTGCCTAGTTTAGCAAAATATTTTCAATAAATATTTCTTGAACAAATGTGCCAAGAACTGAAATGCATTTCAGAACAAGGTAGTCTGTTCCACTCATCTGAAAATAAGATAGAAAAGTGGTGAAGGAGGAGAATTTCATGTCAAAAAGTACACATTTAAATACTAGGTTGAGCTACTTATTAGAATATGTGACCTTGTGCAAGTTGCTTACAGTCTTAATGATCTCAGTTGAAAATGGAGGTGATAATCCTTTCCTTACAAAATTGTAACATAAGTTAATGGAGTAATTTTTTTAAAAAAAGAATAACTCATGTGATCTATAAAAGTATTATATAAATAGTAGATACTGTTAACTTATTGCCTGAAAATAAAAGGTTTTCTGAATGTAAAATATGCAATTCATTATTAACTGTATTAGCACATTTATATTACATATGTCATTGTTTGCAATCAGGATATAATTGTCATATAAAACAAAACATGTTCACAAATCGTTTTTTTCTGTTAGTGTATCAGATATAACTTTTTCCAATATCTGATCATAATATAAATATTAAAATGTGTATATATGAAGCTTTTATGAATTCCCATTTCTGAATTTATTGGTCATCACAGGAAATACTTTAAAATATTGCATTTTCTAGTTTAGCACTTTGAAATAACTTTTTGAAAAAAATTAAAAAATAGTTTAAAAGGAATTAAAATATCTTACATAGTATTACAAATTTGGGATTTTTCACTCAAATAGAAATTTTGTTTCACCACTCAGCAGTGGCTGGGATCCACTGGGAAAATCCGTATTTGCTCCATCTACTTCCAATTTGGATGGGGGCAAGGGCTTCCCCTCATACCTCCACTTTCCATACCGTGTGTCTTGCTACTCTGTCCCCTATTCAATCAAGCTCACCATATCCAGGGCTACCATTGTCCAAAAGTGATGAGCCAAGCACTTCATGGCCCAGTCACATCTCCCTTGTTGGAAAACTCACAAGGTTTTAACAAAATATTGAGAGTCTTCTGATATCTGTCATAGACCGGCTATAAATGAACATTTGATGTAATCCAAAGAAATAAGAACAACCCAAAAGATTGTTTTTCCATTTAAGAGCAAAAACTTCTTGCCTTTTCTCCGTAATTTTCCTCACTGCCAACATAGAGGAGGTAGGACCGTAAGAGACATCTCTACTACTCTCTCCAAGGAAGGTTTCTTTTAGCATGGGCAAAGTTTGAGCAGTGGAGATAAAAGGAGATGAGACCGGGATTTTTCACCAAATTAGTTCTTTTTTAGTGATGGAGTCTCGCATTTGCCTCCCAGGCTGGAGTGCAGTGGTGCAATCTCAGCTCACTGCAGCCTCTGCCTCCGGGGTTCAAGCGATTTTCCTGCCCCAGCCTCCTAAGTAGCTGGGATTACTGGCGCCCTCCACCACGCCTGGCTAATTTTTGTACTTTTAGTAAAGATGGAGTTTCCCTATGTTGGCCAGGCTGGTCTCAAACACCTGACCTCAGGTGATCTGCCTGCCTTGGCCTCTCAAAGTGCTGGGATTACAGGCTTGAGCCATCCTGCCTGGCCCAAATTAGTTCTTAATACTAGACCTGATATGAAAGCTATTTTTGCTGCCTGGTGGGGGGGAAGCAGGGCGGTCTTTACAGAAAATAAAACCATTTCATGTCTATCATGAATTCAGACCTATTATTTAATTGGTAATATTTGATTAATTAGAAATTAGAGTCCTATTAAATGATAAGATCATATGTCTCTTCTTTTATAAAATGGGTTCACACAATTTTCTGGCTTATGAACTTCATACAATAGTGAGGACTAAGTAAGTCTCTACTTGGAGCAAGGTCTTTATAAACTCTAAAATAACTTTTTTTTTTTTTTAACAAAAGGTCCAGGGCTTTGCATTATGTAGAAAGTGAGATAATATGGAGGAATAAAAATGATTATTTACTGTATTTGAACAAGAAATAATTTTATAGAACTTTGAAAAAGGGAATTATCACTTCAGCAAACAAGTTCATTTCTCTGCTTTCAACATTACACTTTATGACTCTTTTAGAAAGTTGGACTTCCATTTTTCGTCAAAGTTTCTTCAGGCAAGTCTGTAAGAAAGCTCTCTTTACTCTGTTGGTAATGACGAAATGAAAAGTCCATTTTAAGATGATTATTTGCTCTTATTTTAGGCGTGATTGATTTCCTTTTTCATTTATTATATTGTATCAACAATGTATGTTGAACTGCATCTTTCTATACACAGTAGTGATTTGAAATGATGGCTCTGAAAAGAAAATGATTACAATGTTTTATAAAGTCGTCCCGATTCACACAAGCACTAAATAAACATAAAATAGTGTCACAGAATTACACAGCATAAGCAACCTAGAATTTGTAAACCTTTTGCCCTAATTTACACATGAACACAGACACACACTCCTCAAATAAAAAAATTCATTAGTTATATTAATTATGATAAGCCTTACTGCTGTTACAGAAAATCCTCAGTGGCTTAACAAAATAGAATTGTATTTCTCACTCGCATAAATTCCAGTCTGCTGCTCTAATTTTTCAAGATCTTAAATTTCTGGGCTCTCCTGTTCTCTTTCATTTTTGCTTGCAAATGGGTCAGCTTGCTCCTGAGCTTGTACTTTTCTTGTGATACTTTGCCAAAAGATTAAAGCAAGAGTAGGTATAGATTAATCTCATTCATTCCTACCACTTATCCTATGTCTTGGGCTCAGTATGGATGTAGTTTGCCTTCCATTTCATCATAAGTGATGGTTTTGCTAGATGTTTTTTTCTTAGTTTACTTTTATATGAAAATGTCCTTATTTTGCCTTCATTATTGAAGGATTAACTGAATTCTAAGTTGACAGCTTCTCCCCTATGTTCTCCCTGCTCCTATCCTCTCCACTGCCACCTCTCCTCCCCACAGCCTTCACTCCCAGCACTTCTTCAGTATGTTAAAGATGTTGTTTCCCTGTCTTCTGGCTTCCATTGATGGTAATAGCAAGTCAGGTCGTTTGAATTACTCTTCCGCTGTAGGTAATTGCGTCATCTATTGCTATTTTCAAGGTTTTCTCTGTATCTTTGGTCAGCAATTTGATTAGGAGAAGCCTAAATGTCATTATACATGCATTTACCTTTCTTGGGCTTCACCAAGCTTCTTCAATCTGTAAATTTATGTCTTTTACAAAACTTAGGACAATTCTGTCCATTATTTATTCAAATATTTTATTCTGCCCTATTATTCATCTCCTGCTGAGACTGTAATGACATATATGTTCTACCTTTTGATGTTATTCTATAGGTTTCCGAGACTATTTTATTTTCCTTCAATCTTATTCTTTCTGTTTTTTAGATCGGATATTTTTTATTCATCTATTTTCAATGCTGACTACTCTGTAATCTCCCATTTCCTTTAAGACCATCCAGTGAATTTGTAAAATTTCAGATATCCTTTTTTGTTTCAGAATTTCCATAAATCCTTTCTATAGTATCTCTTTCTTCACTGAGCTTTTCCATACTTTCACTCATTCCAAGCATATTATTCTTCCCATCTTTGAGCTTTGCTAATGTAGCTGCTTTAAATTTCTTGTCTGCAGCTGAGTCAACTCATAGTCTCTATTAAGAATGAGCTATCATTTGCTTGTTTCTTTATATTTTGAGTACTTTTGAATTGTATCCCAAATATTTTGAATGTTTTGTATGGAGACTCTGCATACTATCATATTGCTTTTCCAAATCTTGATTTTTATTTTTATTTTTTTGGTCTATGTGTTGTAGTCTTAATAGCAGTTTAATTGGACTCAAACGGAAAACTCCATCTCTTGGGAAGGAGTTAAAATAACATTTCAGTTCTGTAATCATTAGTTATGGGGCTCAGAGTCTTCCCTATGTATGTATGGTTCAGGGATTAGCCAGAGATTTGAGCAGAGCTAATATACAGATTTGAGGTTCCATCTCTAGGACCTCTTCTTTCCAGGATTCCTCCTCACTTTGCAGCAACGTGGTTTCCTGTTATCCACTGCTCTTTCTGCTGGAAAGACTGAGTTTTCTGTCAGAATTTTAGTCACAGTGCACATTACCCACTGAGGCCTCTTCTTGGGCTAACAACCACAAAAATCTTCCTGGGACCGTTCTTTTCTTTTGAGAGTTGATTCCTTTCCAGAATCTACCTGCTTTTGTTACTCTCCAGTGCATTCAGGTAATTGTTTTTTGCTTTTTCATTGTTATCTGATTAAGCAGTTGGTCAGTTTGGCCATTCCAGAAGCAGAAATATCTTTACTAAGTGCTTTGTCCCTGCATAACATGGGTCTCCATTTTCCAAGCTTGGATATTAGTTTCTGTCAACATCCTAGCACCAAGCCGATGTCCCTTAATTAAAATTTTTGCAGTGGAAGAAAAATTGCAAGGTGTGTTCAGGGTACAAATTTTTGTATTAATTAAGCTAACATGAGCCTCTGATAGATAACCCCTTTATTTTGGCAGCTTAACGTAATGCAAAAGCTTTTTTTTTCTTTCCACTTGCAACAGTCCAATGTTGGATGGCTATTGGATGGCTTTCCTTGAAGTGATAAATCAGGAGTCTAGGCTCCTTTCTTCATATGGATCTATCATATTTGACATGTGCCCTGGAAGCTCATCTCCATTGCAGCCATCCAATGGGGCAAAGCCATGGGAGAATTGCATTGGAGATGCCTGAAAGTGGTAAACACGATTTCTGATCACCTTCCTGTGGTTAACTCTCAATCTTATGGTAAAATTAAGGAAGGGTGGGAAATGCATTCTACATGGGCTACCAAGAAAAGGAATAAATTTGGTAAGCAGATATCCAGTGATATGGTTTGGTTCTGTGTCACCACTCAAATCTCATCCTGAATTGTAATAATTTCCATGTGTCAAGGGCCAAGTGGAGATAACTGAATCATGGGGGCAGTTTCTCCCATACTGTTCTTGTGATAGCAAGTGAGTTCTCACAAGGTCTGATGGTTTTATAAGTGTCTGGCATTTTCCTTGCTGGTACTTCTTTTCTCGCCTGCTGCCATGTAAGCTGTGCCTTTCACCTTCTGCCATGATTGTAAGGCCTCCCCAGCCATGTGGAATTGTGAGTCTATTAAACCTCTTTTTCTTTATAAATTACCCAGTCTTTGGAATGTCTTTATTAGCAGCATGAGAACAGAGAAATACATCCAGTCTTTTCTAAGACAGATTCTTTATTGCTTACTATATCTCAGTTTAATTCACCTTTATTCCAACTACCCTTCACCAGCAGAAGTCATTGTGTCCAGCGGAAGGTGAGCCAGGATAATCATCTGTGAAAAAAAGGCTGGAGTGAGGGGGCTGTTTCTGAGCACACTTCTTTGAGTTCTGTGTAGTTGAACAGACATTTAATGACGCCATAGCTACCCATTGTGGTTTACATTGCTTGAGGAAAGAGAAGATAGAGAGAGGAAAGTGTAGACCAAAATATGTAGTTTTGGTGAAATGACTAGATTTGAGTGGATGAATCAGTGGGTTCTTTTTAAATGACCTGTAGGGAGGAAAATTGGCATTCTGAGAAGGTGTGTCCAGGCTATGCACTTTTTATGAATTTTTTGGTAGCCAGTTTTGTTCTTGACAAATGAACAAATCATCAGTTTAAGTTTAGATGTAGTTCATAATGTTAGCATTTCATATCCTTTCAACAATTTCAAGTGATTTTCTTTCAGAACTGGCAAAATATGTCTCAGCTTTTGGCAATTTGACTTTGCCTTGCAGCTAAGTGAAAAAATTACAAAATGAGAAAACAGACTCAGCTCCCCTGAACAAAAGGAAAAAATATTAACTCCATGTAGTATTTATTATAACATCTGGAAAATCATCTCAAATTTTCTGAGTATCTTTTATGACATCAAAATCGTGACAATAAAAAGGAAAATTCAGATGCTGAGAAACGTATCTTCTTTTGTAATTTATAAAGTGACAAATCTTCTGTTCCACAAGTTAGATATTATGTTCACATAGTAAACATGCTAAATGTTTAAAGAAAAATAGATCCTATGATTACATTTATGTTTTCCCTCTTGTTTTTACGAGATTTGGAAAAATCTTGATGTATCTAACGTCTTGTTAATCTGAATGTTATATGCATTCGAAATAAAACTTATAATCTTACTCTGTGATTTGTTCCACTGGCATTATCAATATTGATTGAGACATTCAGTAAGGGAAAATACATCTTTTAGAAATTATGGGAAGTTGAAGAAACAGTAGCTCTTGCTGTTTGAAAAGTTCACAATTAGAAAGAGAAATGAGAGAGGTAAATATGACATAAAAATATTATGAAATCAATGAATTATCAACTAATGATTGTACTTGAAAAGAATTATAGAAAATTGTGTGACTGAATGCAGAGTGGGTGCTATGGTTTGAATGTTTGTGTTTCTTCACCCCAAAATTCATATAGTAAAAACTTTAACCCCAAAGTGATGGTATTAGGGGGTGGGGCCCTTTGGGAGGTAATTAGGTCAGGGCAGAGTCCTTAGGAAAGAGGCCTCTTTCACCACATCAGGATGCAGCAAGAAGGTGCCGCCTATGAGGAATAGGCTCTCACCAGACACTGAATCTGCTGGCACCTTGATCTTGGACAACACAGCCTCCAGAATAGTGAGAAACCAATGTCTGTTATTTATAAGCTAACCAGTTCTGATATTTTGTTAGAGTAGCCCAAATGAACTAAGACAGAAGGAGTGACAAGATTCAAGAATGAAGAATTTACAAAGAAGGAGAAATGTCAAAGTCTGTGTAGACCAGGGCAAGCCTAATTAACAGAAAAATAGGAGATTTTATGGAGAGGAATGGGGAATATTGTCATAGGTAGAAAGAGTCCATTAGGGTGAGAGAGCCCCTAATGAAAGTTCTGCACATGATTCCCAGTAGATTTAGGACCGAGAGGCAGGAACAGTGGAGGGATAATATGGGAGGAATCCTCACACAAAGTGAATTGTGAGGAAATACGGAGTTGAACAGATTATGCTAGGGGGAGTGCTACAGCTAAAATGAAGCCTGAGCGAGGAAAGGGGGAAAACTGGAAACTACTACACACATTTATAGACTATATAGAGAATTAGACCAAATGGCCCTCTGTTCAGAATTAAGAGGATTATAATATTGCTTTATGCTCATAAGCACATCAGGGTTTAAGTTTAGTGAATAATCCCACAACAAGCTAACAAATTAACAAACTCTCCTACTATGATGTCATGTTTTTGGTGTTCTCCAGAATTAAATTTAAATCTTGCCCCTGTTTATTACCAGGTGCATGATTTGGTGCAAATCACCTGAGTTTCACTAAGCCTCAGTTCTTCATCTATATAATGGGGATAATAATATTTCCTTTGCAGAATTATTGGACTTTTATCTGAGACAATTATGTAAATAACTTATTACAGTGTTCAACATATAAAAAAGCCTCAATCAGTGGTAGCACATTCTTTTTTTCAAATCCATAGTGATTCTTCATCCAAGGCTATAGTAACTGAATTAGTTCGGTGCAGAAGTTGGTCCCTGTTTAGTGGTGATTTTCTGAGCTCTCTCTGATGCATATAATTTGAGTCATGAAAAATGCATGTACAGATAATCTCTTAGGGAACCTAAATTCTTTATGGAAAAAAATTAAATGTAAAAAAATAAACACATAGCCTAACTACTTTAGATTTTGGAGCTGGAGAATATGCTAGAGGTTGAGCCTAATTAAAGTCACTGGAGCCTTAACAATTAATCAGTTACTGACACAGAAGGAAGCAGGGGAAGAAAAAGAGATATGAGAAAAAAGGGAAAGGGAGCATGCAGCTTCCAAGAGTGATGCACGAACTTCAAGGTCATGGTTCAGTGGGCTGTAGAGCAGCTTGTAATTTCTACCTTTATTTCTTACAAGAGCAATAGTTTCATGGTACCTCACCTCTATCCCTAAAACTGAGAATTAACACTGTAATGGATGATTTCAACCAGGTTATGATAATTAAAATAACTTACCTTTTAATTATGTGCTATAGCTTAAAAAATACCTGCAGAATCATCATCTCATTTGATTCTTACAGCAACCAGATGAAGTACATAGAATTGGTATTCTCATAATTATGAAATTAGCCTTCACGGAGAAAAAGCAAATGAAAATATTTAGAAACAGCAGTGCTGTAATATCCTCACATCCAGTTTACAATTCTTGAAAGAAGTAGTACTGATGTTGAGATTTCTATTTTTAAAAATACTTCAGAGCATATTTCTCCTTTGCCCTCACCTCACTTAGTTAAAAAGGATAAGAGCTAAGTGCAATTTTCTGAAGCCATCAACAGCAGAGCTAAAATTCACTCCAAATTCGTGACTGTCATCTTACAGTCACGTGTTGCTTAATGACATGACTACATTTCGAGAAATGCATCGTTTGGTGATTTTGTCTTTGTGCAAACATCTTAGAGCATACTTACACAAACCTAGATGGTATAGCCTACTACAAACCTAGATGGTATATCCTACTACAAACCTAGGCTGTATGGTGTAGCCTATTACTCCTAGTCTACAGACCTGTACAGCATGTTACTATACTGAATATTGTGGGCAACTGTAACACAGTGGCAAGTATTTGGGTATCTAAACATATTTAAGCATAGAAATGTACAGTAAAAATATGGTATTGTAATCTCATGGGACCACCATTGTATATGTGTTGTTGACCACAACATTATTATGCGGCACATGACTGTATTCAGGAAAGCATCCTTCTCCTTATGTTTCTTTAAAAGTAAGATCTGATGTGGGCAACATGGTGAAATTCTATCTCTACCAAAAAGAAAAATACAAAAATGAGTCAGGTGTGGTGGCGTGTGCCTGCAGTCCCAGCCACTCTGGAGGCTGAGGTGGGAGGATCACTTGAGCCCAGGAGGTTGAGGATGTAGTGAGTGTGATGGCACCACTGCACTCCAGCCTGGGCAACAGAGTGAGACCCTATCCTAAAACAAAACAAAACAAAATTAAATTTTTAAAAAAAGTGAGATATTTAACATGACTTGATTCCAGGACCTGGCAGAGATCTATAAATGATGGCGAAATGATGTAAAGTAAGTGAAAAAGAATGAAGGTATGGTTTACATTTGGGGTGGGGGAAAAAAGAGATACGCTTCCCATTGCTCTGTTGTTTTATCTAAATCCACTTCCTCATATAGCTTTTTCCGAATATGAAGATAGACTACATTGTTAGGATGAGAAATGTAGGAACTATAACAAGAAAACCCCAAAAATTACCATAATTTTGGAAAATTTGCTTAATCTTTTAGGCTTCATTTTCCTAATCTTTAAAATAATGATAAGCATAGTATCTATTAGAATCAATAATTACAATGTTTATTTCAGAAGGCTATAATGAAGATTAATAAAGATTAGATGACATCAAGGATACTAGCATAAAATAACAGCTCAATAAATGATCCCCCCATCCCGCCCTCTTCTTCCTCTCCCCGTCCACTTCCTCCTCCTCCTCCTTCTTTCTTCATCACCATCATCATTTTTTAATTAAAGCTACAATTACACACATGATCAGCATGACGATTTGCTGCCTAATAACCTAACTGTCGGGATGCTCCACTGAATTTGTCATTTCCTGTCAGCCATTCCTTCTCTCAGCATTGGTTTCTTTGAAAAGAAAAAAGCATTCAGTAAAGATTTCTTAGTCTTCTTTATCAAAAGATACCAAGATTTCTATATGCTGTTTTGTTATCCTGTGAAATTTCTAGGAATCTCATTTTAAGACTCTTATTGTAAATTGACATGTGCGTAGTCATTTCAATTTAATAATCATTGGAGACAAGATGGTAATTAACTCTACAGCCTACTTATTATTTTAACTAATAGCATAACCATGTTTATGTTTAACTTCTTCAGGTTCATGTAAGAACTAAAGTAACCAGTGCCTTTTTATCTGATGCTACAGGCACAGGTTTATTTTGCAAGCATTTATTTTGTTGGGTTGTCTTCTACCATTGACCTGCTTGTTTGTTTTTTTAAAACAGGTAAAGGAATACTTTTTGAAATTTTAACTGGAGATTCTGAATTCAAATTCATAATGCTAGCATGCAAGTAATTTCCAAACATTATATGAAGACAGCTTTAAGTACTGTGTAAACAGCATGGTGACTGATTACAGTAATTGTAAATTTAGAGGTCATTTGGTGAAATGGACAGAGAAATCCATTTAGTGGTTGCAGGTCACTAATTGATACCTTTGTGGAAAACTTATTGCCAGGGAGGAACTTCCAGCACAGGAAATGTCCCATTGCAAATACTATTCGCTGTCCATTAATTAAGCACTTGCAAAGCTTTGTTAACTAGAACAGGCCTCAGGACCATAATTTTGGTCAGTAGAGCAGCACTTACTTGAAAGTGTTAATTTAATTTCCTAACATGTTCATAAGCAGCTGAATGACTCAACATGCATTATATTTTATCCCTCAGACAGAACCACAGGGCAAAGCTGATTTAGATGAGTTTTTTAAGGTACTGGTATAATATTATCAGTAAAAGAAGGACAACTCAGACAGCATCTGGCAGTGTTGGGTTTAAAGAATATCAAATAATATCACAAGTGACTTAATAGCAGCCATATGCTGTGACCTTTTCTAGTCCTTCTCTTCTTCATCTTTTCTGCAACATTTGGGCCAGTTGACCACCTCTGCTTACTCAACACTGCTTTTTCCTTTGACATTTTCCACACCTCCCTTTTGCACTCCTGCAGAAGTTCATTGCCCCCTCCCTGACTGATGCTTCTCAGCCCTTCTCAGCTTCTCACCCTCTCTCTCCTCCCAACACCTACATCCTAAAGTTTTGTTTCTATGGAGATTTTCTCATCCTTCTTGTCTCTTCCCCGTGTGCTTTTTTCAGGGAAAGTACATTTTATTCACTTCCAGCTTCAGTTATCAGTCTGATGGGTGGGATGGCTGCCCGGTAGAGACCGCCACCCAGACTCCCAGTTGCAGCTTCCTGCTGGGCCACATGGATGTTGTTAGGTTAGTGTTTTAGAGTCAACAAGGCCTAAACAGATCTATCATTTCCATTTCTCTAATTAGTTCCCTAATTTTATTACTGATATCATTATACTTCCTCTTACTCTGGTTCAAAAGTCTGGCTGCTGCAGCAACTTTTATCCTTCTGGCTCATAACCTTTCCTCCCACCTCATCTGATCAGTTAGCATATTAGTCCGTTCTCACACTGCTATGAAGAAACACCTGCGACTCAGTAATTAATAAAGAGGTTTAATTGGCTCACGGTTCTGTAGGCTGTATAGGAAGCATGATGCTGGCCATCTGCTCAGCTTCCGAGAAGTCCTCAGGAAGCTTACAGTCATGGTGGAAGGCAAAGTAGAAGCTGGCTCCTCTTACATGGCCAGAGCAAGAGCAAGACAGGGAGGAGTGAGGTGCTACACACTTTTCAATAACCAGATCTCCTGAGAACTCACTCAGCATCACAAGAACAGCACCAAGGGGACTGTGCTAAACCATTCATGAAGGATCCACTCCCACAATCCAATCACTTCCCACCAGGCCCTAGCTCCAACACTGAGGATTACAATTGAACATGAGATTTGGGTGGGAACACAGATCCAAATGATAACAGTTAGCAAATGCTGTTGATGTGGAGGGTATTGAGAATGCATAATGAACATGGCACTTTATTTGCTATATAGTTGTAAGAACACTCTGGAACTCACAGCTTACTGATTCTGGGGATGGTGCTGGGTAAGAGCAAGGTGCTGGTAGTACTTAAATTTGTTGATTCAACATATTTATTCTTTTCCTGATTAAGCAGTTCCTTCAAGTTCACAACAGTCTCTTGCAGAAGTGATCAGCTTTCCCAGGTTTCATTCCCTTTGTCTTTCATAGAAAGTGGTCCTGGTGTCACATGACCAATTTTAAAATTTGAGTAGGGCATGCTGGCTCTTACCTGTAGTCTCAGCTACTCAAGAGGCTGAGACAGGAGGATGGCTTGAGGCCAGGATTGTAAGGCTGCAGTGTGCTATGATTGCACCTGTGAATAGCCACTGCACTCCCAGGCTGGGCAACAGTGTGAGACCTTGTCTCTTAAATTTTTTTTCTTTTTTTTTTTTGAAATGGAGTTTTGCTCTTGATGTCCAAACTGGAGTACAATAGTGTGATCTTGGCTCACTGCAACCTCCGCCTCCTGGGTTCAAGCGATTCTCCTGCCTCAGCCTCCTGAGTAGCTGGGATTATAGGCACATGCCACCACGCCCAGCTAATATTGTTTGTATTTTTAGTAGAAACAGGGTTTCACCATGTTAGCCAGGCTGGTCTTGAATCCTGACATCAGGTGATCCACCCACCTTGGCCTCCCAAAGTGCTGGGATTACAGGTGTGAGCCACCATGCCTGGCCAAAAATATTTTTTAATGAAAAAAAATTGTCAAATTAATATTTTAGGTCAGGTGCAGTGGCTCATGCCTGTAATCCCAGAGTTTTGGGAGGCCAACATGGGGGGATCACTTGAGGCCAAAGTTTGAGACCAGGCTGGGCAACATAGTGAGGCCCTGAATCTACAAAAAAATTTTTAAAAAAATTAGCTGGGCATAGTGGCACGTGCCTGTAGTCCCAGCTACTTAGGAGGCTGAGGTGAGAAGATTACTTGAGTCCAGGAGGTCGAGGCTGCAGTGCACCATGATCATGCCACTGCACTCCAGCCTGGGCGACAGCGAGACCCTCTCTCTAAAAACAATTATCTCCTATTATTACAAAAACCTAATTACTCTGAAGTCAAATGTCTGCTTCTGGTTGAGTTGGAGAAAAAAATCATGTAGAAGCAAACTTAAGAGAAGAAGGCATATTAATCCGGCTCATAACATATTCCTGTTAAAATGATGTATCTTTGATGGCTCTTGAAGGTGACTCTTCTTTTCCATTTCTCCTACTCTTCTCTTGAACTTCTGTGAAGTTTCTAACTGGTTACCGTAGATCTATTCTCGTCCTCAAAATCCAGACTTCATGCTCTTACCCAAGTAATAGTCACATCTGTCACTGCCTTGCTCAAGTAGGTTAAGAAGCCTGAGCATATTCCACAGAGCAAACCCATGCTTCCTTACATCAAAGCCAAGCTTTCCACAACCCAGCTTCATACTATCATGGCCTGAGATATCCACGTGCTCCATACTTTCAATAGAAGAGCCTTCACTATTTCACAGCTGTGCAATCTATATCCCTTACCTTGGACATGACTGGTATTTCTGCCCAAAATGGCTTTGCACTTCCATATCAGCCTACTGAAACCCTATATGTCCTTTAGTGCCCTGCTAAGATGTCATTTTCAGATTCCAGGGAGTACTTCCAGATTCCCTGTCAGAAACAAATTCCTTCTTCTTCAATTCCACTCATGTTACTCTCTCTAGATTTCTATTGTTATTTTTCACATTACACATTACAATTAGCAGTGTATATACATCTTCTTTAAGTTTTGATATTTAAGTTCCTAGAGGGTAGGAGTCAAGGCATATTTATATTTTGCATCACACAGAGACCCAGAAATTAGGCTTACAATGACTATGAGCTGAATTAAACTATAAAAATGTTGGAGATTTAAAAAGTCAAATAGTTGCATTTTATTATCCCTAGTATATTGAACTGTGCCCTGGAGACTAGATTGCTGGCATATTTTGTGTTCCTTAAGTTTGCTTTCGATTCCCAGGAGGTTCTTAGATAAATAGAAAAATATTCATTATTTTCCAATGGAATGAATATAATGCCTTTATCAGTAAGATTAATAATGTCATTTCAGATTTCCAAAGAAATAACTTTAGAAACCTCACTAAAATCTACCGTGCTTTCTTTTTTCCAGTTCAGCTTAAAAATTGGGTTCTTGTTATAGAAGTTAAAAGCAAATAACTTTTTCCCCGGACAGATTTTTAGGAATAAAACAAAAATCAGATAGGCAGCCAAAACAAACTAACCAAAAGCAGTTGAAGAAGCCCCAGACAGAGAGGTTATTTCCTTTTGGTGGTCAAGTGGCAACGTGGTTATTGCATTATGTGAATCCTAAATTGGCATTTTGGGAGGAAACAAGAATCGTTTGCTGGAAATTAAATCCTTCATTTCTCTAAATGCCAGTCACCTCTGGGATTCAGACTAAAGTCCCTACTTTTATCTGTCCATGGACAGGCCCCATCCCCTATCTTTTTCTAGGGCATAATAATGACATTACATTTTATTCATTACGCCTTACAGAAACTCAGACTAGTCACAGGCTATTGTTAGCTCTCTCCATTTCAGGAATGTTCCCAATAAAGTCTTTATTCACCTGAGTTGCCATTGAACCAGGTAAGATAGAAAAAAATGGCTATTATAAAGCTGAAAATTATGTTGCTCTTTGAGGAGACACATAAAGAACCCACCTCTTTTATCAACTTATTTTTCAAAGCCTCTCTTTAGATGTTCAGTGACTCTCTTAAAAGAGTGATTTGATCTCACCGGAAAAAAAAAATAAAGTTTCCAATCCTTCTGGTTGCAAAGATAGGCCCTTTTACTGTAAATCAATGTGTTGCTGTCTTGTTTGCTCTGCTGCAAGAAAGATGGACACAGCACAGAACTAATGGTACTGCTTCCTCAACTCATTTATCTTGTAGATCGGTTCATAGTGCAGCCCAGACTTAACCATTTCACCTCCCCTTTCCTGCTGTTGTTACTGGGGCTCAGAATGCCACTGTTGATTGAATGAAATTACTGGGGCTGTTGATTGAATGAAATTACTGGGGCTCTGAATGCCACTGTTGATTGAATGAAATTATCTTTATTTTGCTTATTTTTCTGGACATTAAGTACCAAAAGTGGGATCAGTTATAGTTCTGACTTTATGGCACTCTACTTTATTTGTCCATGCCATGTTCCTCTCTTGTTATTGCAGTCATGCATTGCTTAATGACTAAAATACATTCAGAAACATATATCGTTAGGCGATTTTGTTGTGTGACCATCATAGAGTGGATTTACACAAACCTAGATGGGATAGCCAACTACACACCTAGGCTATGTGCTACAGCCTATTGCTCTTAGGCTACAAACTTGTACAGCATATTATTGTGCTGAATACCAGGCAACTGTGACATATTTGTGATATTTGTGCATCCAAACACAGAAAAGGTACAGTAAAAATATCGTATTACAATCTTACTGGATCATCTTTACATAAGCAGTTTGTGATTGACTAAAGCATCATTATGTGGTATATGACTATATTTTATTTACATTTTATTTATTTCCTTTGACCCCATTCCTCATATTCACACCTTCCCCACACCTAGGCACATCAATAGATAACCATTCTAGTATGTTGGTTACTTAGCTTTCTGTTTTTATGTTTTTGTAAAACATGTATTGTTGTTTTGTGTGCATGAAATTTAAATTTACACAGTGATATTGTAGTAAAGATCTCACTCTGTTTCTTATTTTCTCACCCAGCATTGTGCTTTTAAGATCTTTCCATATTGCCGTGTGTATATTTACTAGTTGTTTTTGATGGTGCTTTGAATTTTACTGGTGGCATCAAATCCACATTGAAGGGTGTTTTAATTGACTGCAACTTCTAGTCAACATAAGATATGCTACAATAAACATGTGATAAGAGCTTGTTATTATTAAGGATGTAGTTAGGATGAATTCCTTAGTGATGGCATTGTTGGATCATACTGTCTACATATATAATTTATCGCTAATTGAATTTGTCAAAGATTTTGTGCATATTTATTGAGTTAATTACTTGATGTTTTATAGTTTCTATTACTATTGTAAATGAGGCATTTTAACATGTATTTTCTAGTTTATTGTTTCTGGTATAGAGAAAGGCTATTATTTTTGTTAGTTGGTCTTGTTTTCAGTTACTTTGCTAAGCTCTTCTTCTAAGCTTGTCGATTATGTATATATACATTATCTAAAAATGACATTCTTACCAATTTATGCCTTTCTTCTTGGATTTTTGAATTTGCTTTTCTGTAGAATTTCTATTTTTTTTCTGTTTACTGATACATTTATTTGGAGTTGAAGTTTCTTTCAATTACTCCTTTAGCACAGTTTTTTGTCTTTTAGAGTTTACATTGATATTCAGTTCTAAGCATTTTTAATATTCTTTAAAATTTTCTTTTCAACCCAATGATATGCAACCAAATTGTCATGTAAATAGAGGATATAATACAAATCTATTCTGGAAAATGTCTTCAATTTATTCTAAGGGATTAGTATCATGATATAAAAACCACATAATTAAAGTCTAGTTTCAACATTATTTTACTCCAAAATCATATTCTATTGTCTTTTTAATCTACTATTCGTGTTAAAGTGTGTAATGTCAGTATGATTTTTGTTCTTTCAAGATAATCTATCCTTTGTCTAGCTTCTTAAGTTTTCTCTTTGACATTCTTCGATATCCTTACATTGTATCTGAGGGAGGGGTTTTCCTTTGAGCACTCTATGAGCACCTTCAATCCAAGTGAGGCCTTTCATCTTTCTTGAATCTGGGAGTTTCTTGAAATATTTTATTCACTCTATTCTTTTACTCTCCCCTGGGACTACTATTTTCCAGATTTGGTAATTCTGTTTTTCCTGTTTTTTTATCTTCCATGTCTCTTTTTTATTTTCTATCTCTCAGTAATTTATTATACCTGTGGATTCATCCTAGTTTTTATGTTTTTGTTCTTCCCATTGAGGTGTTTTTTTTGTTTGTTTTTTGTTTTTTTCCAGAGGGAATCTTGCTTTGTCTCCCAGGCTGGAGTGCAGTAGTGCAATCTTGGCTCATTGCATCCTCCACCTACCAGGTTTAAGCTACTTTCCTGTCTCAGCCTCCTGAGTAGCTGGAATTATAGGCGCGTACCACCTCACCTGGCTAATTTTTGTATTTTTAGTAGAGACAAGGTTTCTCCATGTTGGTCAGGCTTGTCTCGTACTCCTGACCTCAAGTGATCTTCCTGCATCGGGCTCCCAAAGTGCTGGGATTACAGGCGTGAGCCACCGTGCCTGGCTCCCACTGAGTTTTGTAATTTTCCTACTTTATTTTTTATACTTAATATTATCACTTGGCTTCTTCTAAAAATAACTTATTGTTCCTGCTTTATATCTTATATATAGCATTTCCTTATATTTTAAGTATATTTATTATACTTCAGTGCATTTTTTCCTTGTCTGTTTGAGGAGGGAGAGGGTATGAGCCCCAGCACAGAGAGCCCCAAGCACCACAGACCCACTATGGACAAATCTGTTCATGAATTTTCAGCCAGATAAATTTTCACCTCTTAAAAATAAGCAGCATATAGAAGAGGCAGTGCCCTTAGGTTGTGTTCCACCAAACCTGGATTTTTGGGGGTGAGGAGGGTCAGCTTGGCGGTGGGTAGTGAATGTCTCTGGGCAGCTGGTCAACCTGCACCAATTTTAATCAACTTCACATCCCAGTGGGGTTTCTCAGCTGCACAGATATTATACCTCCAGTGACAGTCCTCGGGCCAGCAAGATAAACAAGAGCAGAAAAAGAAATAAAAGATGCAATGTCATACAATGACATAAGCCTCAGAGAAAGTAAACTATTAAAGGACTTTAGAAATGATGCCCAGAAAAAGGCATTCTGAGAAGTTGACATTTGAACTGAGACCAGAATAGGAAGGAAGAACAAGTGTAAAGTGCTCAAGGTAAGAAGAAACTTCTCATATTCAAGGTAGTTGGAGTGAAGTTAGTGACTGAAAACTACGTCAATGAGCAGGAGCAAGGCTGGGTAGGGTTGTAAAGTCAGAGCTCAAAGTTTAGGTTTTATTCAAAGTACAAATGGAAACCACTGAAGCATTTTAGGGGGTCCTGATATGCCATGATTACGTCTGAAGCAGTGTGGTTACAGAGAAGATTAAAAAATTAAAAGGTCGGGCATTTAAAATACAATTAACAAATATAGCTCCATCATAAAACATTCATTTGCATCATCTGTCATGATTTCTTTTTTCTTCAACTTCATTTTGTTCAGGAAAATTAAATCAATGTCGTCAGCATTTCAGAATGCTGATGTTTAATCTAGATGTGCTTTCGTTATTGTCTGTCAATCTCTCTCTTTCTAAAATCTTTATATATCAAATCTGCTTGGTGATAAATTATTTACCTTGAATTCTCAATTTTTCTCAACTTAATGTACATATTCAGGAGTAGAACATAAATGTTTTAAGCAGGCAAAAACTGAATTTCTTCAAGTTTAGGAGGCTTTCCCTTTCCTCATTGTGGAGCTCCGTACAGTTCTCTACGTCACATGGTTCTCAGCATTGTTCTTAATTCTATGCCACCTTCCTCCAGTCTACCATCTTTCTTTAAAATATTGACAGCCTCTGTTTAGAGCCCAAGATTTAAGACAGGTTTGATATCATAAAAGAATTATGATGCCAATGAGGATAATTAAATGGGCATCAGACATCACTGCTCCTAAAGTCAGTAACTACTGTCTATAACAGAAAATACCCTAAGGGAAACTTCTCAAGATTTGTGGACTAATCAATGATGAGGGTCATCTTCCATAATGAGTAAAATTAAATGGCCATCCTGGTTTCATTTTCAAAACAGAATCATGTTTCATCGTGGTGGTGTGCTATTTCTTTTATCAAGAACTAGCAACTTTTAAATGCAGTTATTTTGCTAAAATAATTTGAAGTTCTTTGCTGGGCACTATGGTACATAAAATTTTTACAAAAATGAGACCACATTGTACATGCTCTTTTATCTCCTACTCTTTGAAACATAACATATATTGTGATCCTTTTAAAAATTTCAATAAATACATTCTTAAAGCATAATTTTAAGTAATAACAACAATATTAGTTTTGGCCACATTTTTCCTAAGTGCTTTACATTTATTTATTCATTTAAGTCTCACAATTTAAGATGTAGGTATTAGTATTATGTCAACACTACATGGTTCCAAGTTTATAATTTCTAATGATAATAACTAACACTTACCAGTTGCTTACAATGTGCTAGTTATGGTGATGATTGCTTAATATAAATTATTTCATTTATCTTTTTGATGAATGTGTCCATTTGTTAACTCAGAAAACTGTTTACAGAAGTAAAGTAACTTGGCCATGATAATAAATCATGGAGCCATAATTTAAACCTCGGCCCCCCCCAAAAATGAGTCTTTAAAAAACATGGCATATGTTACTGGAGTCCTTCAGCATTGCAGTGCCCAACCTCCAGGACATCTTATCCTAGCCAGAAGCAAAGATATAATTTATTATCTGGTATTTAGAGATTTCTGGAGTATCAAAAACCCAATGCTTTCAATGTAAAATATATAGAGTGATTGCTTGGTTATTCTGAATTTGCTGGCTTTCCAACAGAGCCATTCTCCCCCATTCTCAGCTCTATGCCTTGAGGTTGCCTGGCTGTTTTTTCCTTGGAGTTGACCAATGGAAAGAACCAATAGAAGAAGGAGGAGGAAAGAGAAGAAAGTGAAGGCACTTCTTCTCCTTCCTCCTTCCATTCTTTGTGCCATGACTTTGTCAATAGCTGTGTCCTTCCACACTTAACAGTTTCTGCCCTGGGAGGGCCTCCAAGTTGCATTTCTCACTGATCATCTCTTCTTTCCCTTGTCCTTTCAGTCTTATGGATAGCAATGTCTTCCCACCTTTGCTACTCTCTAGAAGCCTCATCATCTCTTATTCTTCCTTTAATCTTGTTCACCCCTTCTTTATGTAGTCCCTTTATTAGTGTCTCTTTACTGGAAACTTCAAAGATGAGTTCTGTTTTTTGGGAAGGCCCTAATATTAAAAAATATAAAAAGGTCAACTAGATTCATTGACCAATAGACTACATTTTCTAGTAACAGAGATCATGAAGGCATTTTGACATAGTCAGTGGAAGTTATAATGGCAGCCAAAATAAGAAATATCTGGTTGTGCAGAAAGAACAAAAGGGATACACTTAGTTAGCTATTTCAAGGATTCACCTACCAGCGATGATATCCATATTGCACAGAAGTTCCCATAAAAATTTTGCTGGGAACTGTCAATCAGGGTCAGACACTGAAACAATCTGGGACCGAGAAAATGGCAATGTTAAGTAATAAACATGCTGTGAGATACTCCATAGAGACACTCTTGCCCTTTAAGACAGAAGAAGTGATGGATTTAGCAATATAGCTAGGAGAGATGAACTATGGAATTGCAGACTCTACCCCTTAGGCTAGCAGCATGGAAATCTCCTATTACATGCTAATGCAGTACTATTGCATTGCTGTGGTTGGGGGTATAAGGTTGCCATTTTAATTTAAATGCTCAGACCTCAATCTAAGATTTATTGGGGCTTTCACGGTAAGCAACAAGTTCAGGAATGAATATTCTTTTGTTTTGGAAAAAGTTTCTTTTGATGATTGACTATATTACACAAGTGTTTTCCTTTCCACTTAAGAGTTTCATTTTTTATATTCTCTCATAACTTTGTGCAATGAAAGAAAATTGTTTGGTTGAGTCCTGTAGAACTATGAATACACTAGGGTTTTTTGATTCCTATGTGATTTTTCCAGAACTAGTGTAAATTTACTCTGTATAACCCCAGGCAATCTATCTAGCAGAGGCACACTTCTTTTCAAGATATTGCTCAATAACTAACTCAGGCATGACGTCATTCCTGACACTCCCCCTTTCTAATCTCCCCAGGTATAATTCATCATTTTTTCTGTTGTTGCTTCTGGCCACTGTACATATAGCCCCTTTCACCTTTTTCTTTTTTCAAAGTGGCTCTCACTTACCAGACTGTGTGCTCCTTAGGGGTGGGTTGGGGTCGCTTTTTGTCCTTAACATCGAATATAGTATTGGGTCAGAATTTGCATATAATAATGCTTCTTGAGTGAATAAATAAATAACTTTTTAGTCCAACATATAATGTGAAGAGCAAGTGGGTTTTAGGTTCAGCTTTTCCAGAATTTACAGTTATGCCCATTTTAATATTACAGAGAATTTAAGGATAATAGAGGCAAATACTCCTAATTGCCTAATCAATATTCACTTTCCCCTCACTTCTTATTAACAGAACTCTAACTTTTGGAGGGAGGCATTGTATTACATTTAAAGTAATTAAAGCTAAAGGAAGTCATGTTTTCTAGATCTGGCCAATGCCATATTAATGGAGGTCTTCATGAAAAATGGGGCTTCTGGTAACTTAGTTTATAAGTATGGTTGTGCATGACACACACACAATAAACTGGTATAAATGTTTACCACTCCATCTTCCTCCTTCTTCATTAAACATAGATGTGATACCTAGAAGTCTAACAGCCTTTCTATCTTCAATGCAGAAGTAGCCTGGCTCCTTGTGCATGAGCCCTAAATTGCTTTCAATTGTATTCCTTGTAATGTGAGTATTTAAAAAAAAAAAAATCCTTACTTGTCTAAGCCATTGTTTGTCAGATTTCTATAATATGCAGCTGAATACAATCTTGAACAGTTCAACAATGTGTCTTTTCGTAGCTTTCATTAACTTTTCACTTGTCATTGATTCTGTGGACAGGAAAATGGCTATGGGCCAAGATACATGAGGTTAACACAGAATCTCAGTCATTCTAAAATAATTTGAAGTGTTGATTCAGTTGCTCCCCCTTCTTTTTAAAATTATACCTTAAAGATCAGATTCCTTTTTTAGATAAACTTTATGTATAGGCCTCTCTACTAAGTGATGACAGCTTTAACAGCATGAAACAAGCATGGCCTTAAGAGACAAATGATTCTAGTATCTAACTGCTGTCAGGAAAGTAGTGCTCAGGATAAGAAAACTAAAAGCATATTATGTGGCAAACATTTTCTAATGTTGCGTGGGTCATTTTCTAATGTTGCATGGGTCACTTTTAATAACTCCACATATTTAGAAAACTTATTTGGCTACCTAGATGGTAGATACATTGAGCCAATAAGCTATCCTGGCCTTTACTTTGGTGGTTATGATGTTTAGCTTCAATTCTCCACAAAGATGTTATTGAGATTACCTTATGTCTGTGGCGCTCATGTGGTAACACATGCTCTGAAAATGATCCAGGAAAAGACATACTGTCTTGTTCCCTAGTGTAGAAGTGTATGGTCTTTGGTAAGCATTTTGCCTATTTAAAAGACATTCTTAAAAACTGGTTTTCCTTGTAAGAACCACAATAGCCTATTTCTATAATGAGGTTAGATGGTCTTCTCCTTGGTGAGAAAACTTAATAATTGATTGACAGCCCTACCTGTTTTTGACTGTTTTTTATACTAATTGCTCTACCCTTACAGAATACTAGCAACCACATTCGTTATCGTAAAGGTAACCTAAAACAACTTGCTATCTAGTACCTAGAGCAAGTGTTTATCAATGCAGTTAGTAAGTGCTACTCAGGCAGGATTGTTTACAACAGTGCGTAAAAGCCTGTCCTCTTTTTCGTTTTCTTTTTTGATGGATATTGCAGTGCAGTGGCTCCCTCTGCCTTTCCCGTATTTTGCTTCATAACTTCCTGAATCTATCTTATAGAATTCCTACAGTTTACTCATCTGCCGTTTAATTTGGGTTAGAAAACGTTAGTCAAAGGGAAGTGCTTTCAATATTCCTTGTAGGCATTCTCAGTTCAATCTCACTTGGATAAAGGCTACATATTTGTAAACTTGGCTGAGATGTCTTTCTTATGAGGCCTGATTTCTAACAAAGATGAGTGAGAAATGGTTGCATAAAATCCACTCGGTAATTGTAGAAAGTTGATGATAAAGACAATTCCCATTAACTCATAGTAATGGTCATTGGAGTTTGCCATCCCTCTGTCCTCTTTTTTAAAATTAATTAATTTTTTTTTTTTTTTTTTGAGACAGAGTTTCTCTCTTGTCACCCAGGCTGGAGTGCAGTGGTGCAATCTCGGCTCACTGCAACCACTGCCTCCCAGGTTCAAGTGATTCTCATGCCTCAGCCTCCTGAGTAGCTAGGATTACAGAAGTGCGTGACCCTGCCTGGCTAATTTTGTATTTTTAGTAGAGATGGGAGTTTCACCTTGTTGGCCAAGGTAGTCTCGAACTCTTGTCTTCAGGTGATCCCCCTGCCTCGGCCTTCCAAAGTACTGGGATTACAGGCCTGAGCCACCATGCCTGGCCAATTTATTTTTTATTTTTTTAGCAGAAGTCAATTTTGTTACCGTATTCATCTCTACTCCATGGAGTACACAAATATTGGGGTAGCTGACTCCACCTCCTTTTCTAGAGACTTATTGATCTAAGTATTCCAAGTTGGGTGAAGACATGAAAAGAGGCTTTCTAGGCTTCTGGAAATGGTCTTCCTCTTTTTTCAAGGTTAGCCTTATTGTTTAAGCTGGTTTGAATAGATTTTCCATGACTTGCAAGTGAAGGAATTCTAACTGATAAAGTCACCTCTTTTCTACATAATTTTCTGATAATTTTTTTCTGAATATTGGACCAGAAATTACTTTGTATCCCTTGCTGAATTATTTGTATTCTGTCTGAAAATAAGAGATATGAAACTTGTTTTATTTTGACTTCTAGAAAGATTACAGCCAATTTTATGTCCAGCAACAACTATGTTGACATTTGATATAAACATATATTCTTTTATTCTTCATCTTAAAATTCTTCAATTTTTCCTTTTTAAAAATTTGAGTTATATGTGTGTTTTGTTGTAATCAACATGTAAGTAATAATGAAAATATGTAATCTTGTGTAGATTTAGTATATGAGAGATAATTCTCTTTTCTAATTCAATAGTTGTCAAACTGTTTTATGGGCTTCAGATTCTGTTCTATAAAGGAACAGCCATACTATTCAAGTTACCACCTAAAGAGAATTGATCAACCAGAATGTTGTAGTTCTAAGGATGTAAAGAGTCTCTGCTCCCAAGGCATTAAAGCAACAACTCTAAATAGATTTAAATTGAGTATACATATGACTAGTCTAGCAAAGATTATAAACGAAACATATTCCCAGAAATCTAGCTCTTCTATCTTCATCCTGTGTCATCACTTCACCATAAATATAACAAGTGTTTTCTGAATTTTATTGTTTATTTTTTAATTCTTTGCTTTTATTAAATATAACTATAAGCATGCACACACACATACAGTGGTATGTGAAAGTGTGTGTGTATATATAAATATACACACACTATGTATATGTGTATATATATCTTCTTTCCTTCATATATATATATACACACACACACACACACACACACACACATCTTCCTTCTTAACAAAGGAAGATACATATATATCTTCCTTACCTAACAAAGAAATATACATATCTTCCTTATCTAAACACACATATATCTTCCTTTGTTAGATAAGTGCTTATGTACTACCTTCTTTTTCACTTAACAATATATTGTAGACATTACTTCATAAAAGTATATAAATATTCCTAATTCTTTTTCACAGCTACATGATTCTCCACTGTGTGATTGTACATGAGTTTATTCAATCATTCTCTGTTGATGGACATTTAATGTGTTTCAAGTTTTTAGCTTTTACAAATAGTCTCATGATAACTATATGTCTATATGGTGCATATTTTTCGTACAGATCTCTTTTTGAAAATTACCAGTGTATTTTTGAGATAAATTCCCAGAAGTAAAATTTCTGGGTCAAAGTGCTCATGCAATTTTCATAGCAATTGCCAAATTTCCCTCCATGTGTTACGTATCTTTTTGCATTCCCATCAGCAATATATGAGAGTGCCAGTTTCTTTACAGCCTTTCCAAGAGAATGTGTTGTCAAAGCTGTGGATATTTGCCAGTATAATATATGAAAAATGGTATCAATGTAGTTTTAATTGACATTTTTTTTTCTTTTTTGAGCAAGCTTGAGAATATTTTTATATGATTTAGAGCCAGTTGTATTTCTTTCAGTATGAACTGTTTGTTCATTTCCCTAGCTCATTTTTCTGTAGGATGGTTGGTGCTTTTCTTTATATGTTTAGAAGCTTGTTATGTAGTATGATACTGAGACTTTGTATGTGATATAAGTTGCAAATATTTTCCTAAATACATTATTGTTGTTTCCTTATTTTTCCTTTGTCATATATAGTTTTACAAATTTTATGTAAGCAAATGTACTTTTCCTTATTATTTCTGGATTTGGTCTAACTATGGAATATTTGTTCAGACTAGGCATAGAGAAAAATTCAACCAAGTTTCCTTCTATTATTTGTACGGCTTCATTTCTTTAATAGAATCTCTTGTTCACTTGAAATTCACCCAAGTATATATTTTTACACCACGTTTTTAAAAATATATATTTTTCTAGTAATTTGAGATGTTGCCCTTATTGTATACTAAATCCATATATAAATGGGCCTAATTCTAAATTTTCTCTTCTGTTCCTCTGGCTATCTTCACTAATACCAAACTTTTAAAACTACAGACTTAGTAGTATGTTTTACTATATTGTAGGATTTAGTACCACCCCTCACACTTCTTTTTTGCTGTATTTCTATTTTTCCTTGCATCTTCTATAATTTCTGCTTTATTAAAGCTTGTTGTGGCACTGGATGTATACGTATTAAAAAATTATTTGAATTGCAGTCTTTGACATCCAATAGTAACCTTTGTTTCTTTCAGTGCATTTGTTTTGTTCTAAATTCTATTTTCTCAGATATCAAGATTGTAACCCTGCTTTCTTTTATCCTCATTTGTCCAGTAAGTTTTCATCAATCCTTAAAATAAAAATAAAAACATTATTCTGAATCACTTTCTTTAAGTTGTGTGATATTTTTTGTCAGCTAATCTACAAATTTGCTTTTACTTAAACTATATATATAAATATATATAATAAATATATATAAGATATGTATATATATCTTATAAATAAAAGGAAAATTTCAGATTATGTACATGTGTGTTTATATAGTTCATCTATTTAATCATATTTTTAATGTTACTTTAATATTTATACAAATTTTTATGTGAATAGTTTGTCATTAAATGGTCTTTTTTCTCATTCTCTCTTTTAAATAGATATTTTAGTATTTAAGAAAGTCTATATTTTTATTCTAATGAGTAATTTTATATCAGTATTATTATATTAGAGCCCTATTTCTCTTTTCAATGCCTTTTTGCTTCTTTGGTTATTGCATATTGGCTTCCTATGATAAGCAATATTGACATTAGCTATTAATTTTATCTTTTCCTTTCCTTGTCTTAAGACATATGATTTAAAGTAATACCCACTTATGTCTAGTAATCTTTTTATACTTTTTATTTGCTTTCTCCCATCATTTTTGATAATTGTCCTATACCTACATTGTCAGACATACAGCTACTATATATTATACTATCTCCTTTGAGACCATTATTAATCTAAGTTTTACATGTAAACATTTTTAATGCTTATCAAAAGTCCTTAAGTTGATGGTTCTCTTGCAGTTTTGGTTGTTGGAAGATAATTTCCTAGTAGCTTTCTCCGTAGAGGTTTATGGGAACATGAATGATATTTACAACCATATTTCTGTGGCCTCTATATCTAACAGTTAGTTTGGCTGGATGTAAAATATACCCCCAATTTTAATTTCTTTTCCAATGTAGCTAAATGTATTTTATACTATGGTGATTTGGCATAAAGTATTACTATGGAGAAACATGCTCAAAATCTGTTTTTGTTTCCTTCATAACTGGCTTGATGTGTTTTGGAAATCTCCCTTTTTTTATTTCTTTTTCTTCCTTTATTTTATTTTATTCTGTAGGATCAGTAATTTTCTTAGAATATGCCTAGAATTTGTCATTTTTGAGTTGACTTTTCCTAGCTAAGTAGTGTCATTTTAGCATATAGTTTCAACTGTATTTTATTTCAAGGAAGATTTTGAATTTTCATTTTTAATCTTGTTTTCATTTCATTGTTTTCATTTTCCTCTTTGGGGACTCCTATTGTGCACATATTTTAACATTTTTTTTCTGGACTCCTTTAATCTTTCTCTTTCTTTTTTATTTTTAAATATTTCTTCTTTTTTCTTTCTATTTCTCTATCTATTGTATCTATTGTGTTGCTTTGTTCTATGTTCCTTCTAGTTTAGACTTCATTTCTTAATATTTGTTTTCTAATATTTTGCTGAGTTCTATGATCTCATTTCTGACTTTTTTTTTTTTTTTTTTTTTGAGACGGAGTCTCGCTCTGTCGTCCAGGCTGGAGTGCAGTGGCGCAATCTCGGCTCACTGCAAGCTCCACCTCCCGGGTTCACACCATTCTCCTGCCTCAGCCTCCTGAGTAGCAGGGACTACAGGTGCCCGCCACCACGCCCGGCTAATTTTTTTTTTTTTTTTTTTTTTTTTTTGTATTTTTAGTAGAGACAGAGTTTCACCTTGTTAGCCAAGATGGTCTTGATCTCCTGACCTTGTGATCTGCCCGCCTCGGCCTCTGAAAGTGCTAGGACTACAGGCGTGAGCCATCACACCCTTCCCATTTCTGACTTTTTCTAATTCAAAGTTATTTTGCTCTTTGTGACATTTTATCTTTTATCCATGACCTCAAAATGCAAGTGTGTTTTATTAACAGTAATCAGAGTTTGAATAAATCTGCAAGACCTAACTGATTCAATATATTGGTAAGGAAACTCCTATAGTCTGTAAGAATATAATTTATCTTTTCATTGTCTTATTTTTTATAGTAACTTTATATGGGATTTGATTATAATTCTTTCACTAAATTTCCAGGAAATTGCTTTTCTAATACTTTTAGAGGTAAGAGACATGTCAGCGTTGCTTAAAAAAAAAAAGTTTTATAGGAGGGAAGAGCCAAGATGGCCAAACAGGAACAGCTCCATTCTACAGCTCCCAGCGTGAGCAACGCAGAAGATGGGTGATTTCTGCATTTCCATCAGAGGTACCGGGTTCATCTCACTAGGGAGTGCCAGACAGTGGGCGCAGGTCAGTGGATGCACGCACCGTGCGCGAGCCGAAGCAGGGCGAGGCATTGCCTCACTCAAGAAGTGCAAGGGGTCAGGGAGTTCCCTTTCCTAGTCAAAGAAAGGGGTGACAGACGGCACCTGGAAGAAAGGGTCACTCCCACCCAAATACTGCGCTTTTCCAAAGGGCTTAAAAAACGGCGCACCACGAGATTGTGTCCCACACCTGGCTCAGAGCGTCCTACGCCCATGGAGTCTCGCTGATTGCTAGCACAGCAGTCTGAGATCAAACTGCAAGGCAGCAGCTAGGCTGGGGGAGGGGCACCCGCCATTGCCCAGGCTTGCTTAGGTGGCACAGACAAACAAAAAGACAGCAGTAACCTCTGCAGACTTAAGTGTCCCTGTCTGACAGCTTTGAAGAGAGCAGTGGTTCTCCCAGTACGCAGCTGGAGATCTGAGAACGGGCAGACTGCCTCCTCAAGTGGGTCCCTGACCCCTGATCCCCGAGCAGCCTAACTGGGAGGCACCCCCTAGCAGGGACAGACTGACACATCACACAGCCGGCCGGGTACTCCAACAGACCTGCAGCTGAGGGTCCTGTCTGTTAGAAGGAAAACTAACAAACAGAAAGGACATCCACACCAAAAACCCATCTGTACATCACCATCATGAAAGACCAAAAGTAGATAAAACCACAAAGATGGGGAAAAAACAGAGCAGAAACACTGGAAACTCTAAAAAGCAGAGTGCCTCTCCTCCTACAAAGGAACGCAGTTCCTCACCAGCAACGGAACAAAGCTGGATGGAGAATGACTTTGTCGAGCTGAGAGAAGAAGGCTTCAGATGATCAAATTACTCTGAGCTACAGGAGGACATTCAAACCAAAGGCAAAGAAGTTGAAAACTTTGAAAAAAATTTAGAAGAATGTATAACTAGAATAACCAATACAGAGAAGTGCTTAAAGGAGCTGATGGAGCTGAAAACCAAGGCTCGAGAACTACGTGAAAAATGCAGAAGCCTCAGGAGCCGATGCGATCACCTGGAAGAAAGGGTATCAGCGATGAAAGATGAAATGAATGAAATGAAGCGAGAAGGGAAGTTTCGAGAAAAAAGAATAAAAAGAAACGAGCAAAGCCTCCAAGAAATATGGGACTATGTGAAAAGACCAAATCTACGTCTGATTGGTGTACCTGAAAGTGACGGGGAGAATGGAACCAAGTTGGAAAACACTCTGCAGGATATTATCCAGGAGAACTTCCCCAATCCAGCAAGGCAGGCCAACATTCAGATTCAGGAAATACAGAGAACGCCACAAAGATACTCCTCGAGAAGAGCAACTCCAAGACACATAATTGTCAGATTCACCAAAGTTGAAATGAAGGAAAAAATGTTAAGGGCAGCCAGAGAGAAAGGTCGGGTTACCCTCAAAGGGAAGCCCATCAGACTAACAGCGGATCTCTCGGCAGAAACTCTACAAGCCAGAAGAGAGTGGGGACCAATATTCAACATTCTCAAAGAAAAGAATTTTCAACCCAGAATTTCATATCCAGCCAAACTAAGCTTCAGAAGTGAAGGAGAAATAAAATACTTTACAGACAAGCAAATGCTGAGAGATTTTGTCACCACCAGGCCTGCCCTAAAAGAGCTCCTGAAGGAAGCGCTAAACATGGAAAGGAACAACCGGTACCAGCCGCTGCAAAATCATGCCAAAATGTAAAGACCATCGAGACTAGGTAGAAACTGCATCAACTAACGAGCAAAATAACCAGCTAACATGATAATGACAGGATCAAATTCACACATAACAATATTAACTTTAAATGTAAATGGACTAAATGCTCCAATTAAAAGACATAGACTGGCAAATTGGATAAAGAGTCAAGACCCATCAGTGTGCTGTATTCAGGAAACCCATCTCACGTGCAGAGACACACATAGGCTCAAAATAAAAGGATGGAGGAAGATCTACCAAGCAAATGGGAAACAAAAAAAGGCAGGGGTTGCAATCCTAGTCTCTGATAAAACAGACTTTAAACCAACGAAGATCAAAAGAGACAAGGTCATTACATAATGGTAAAGGGATCAATTCAACAAGAAGAGCTAACTATCCTAAATATATATGCACCCAATACAGGAGCACCCAGATTCATAAAGCAAGTCCTGAGTGACATACAAAGAGACTTAGACTCCCACACATTAATAATGGGAGACTTTAACACCCCACTGTCAACAATAGACAGATCAACGAGACAGAAAGTCAACAAGGATACCCAGGTATTGAACTCAGCTCTGCACCAAGCAGACCTAATAGACATCTACAGATCTCTCCACCCCAAATCAACAGAATATACATTTTTTTCAGCACCACACCTATTCCAAAATTGACCACATAGTTGGAAGTAAAGCTCTCCTCAGCAAATGTAAAAGAACAGAAATTATAACAAACTACCTCTCTGACCACATTGCAATCAAACTAGAACTCAGGATTAAGAATCTCACTCAAAACCGCTGAACTACATGGAAACTGAACAACCTGCTCCTGAATGACTACTGGGTACATAATGAAATGAAGGCAGAAATAAAGATGTTCTTTGAAACCAACGAGAACAAAGACACAACATACCAGAATCTCTGGGACGCATTCAAAGCAGTGTGTACCGGGAAATTTATAGCACTACATGCCCACAAGAGAAAGCAGGAAAGATCCAAAATTGACACCCTAACATCACAATTAAAAGAACTAGAAAAGCAAGAGCAAACACATTCAAAAGCTAACAGAAGGCAAGAAATAACTAAAATCAGAGCAGAACTGAAGGAAATAGAGACACAAAAAACCCTTCAAAAAATTAATGTATCCAGGAGCTGGTTTTTTGAAAGGATCAACAAAATTGATAGACCGCTAGCAAGACTAATAAAGAAAAAAAGAGAGAAGAATCAAATAGACGCAATAAAAAATGATAAAGGGGATATCACCACCGATCCCACAGAAATACAAACTACCATCAGAGAATACTACAAACACCTCTATGCAAATAAACTAGAAAATCTAGAAGAAATGGATAAATTCCTCAACACATACACTCTTCCAAGACCAAACCAGGAAGAAGTTGAATCTCTGAATAGACCAATAACAGGATCTGAAATTGTGGCAATAATCAATAGCTTACCAACCAAAAAGAGTCCAGGACCAGATGGATTCACAGCCGAATTCTACCAGAGGTACAAGGAGGAACTGGTACCATTCCTTCTGAAACTATTCCAATCAATAGAAAAAGAGGGAATTCTCCCTAACTCATTTTATGAGGCCAGCATCATCCTGATACCAAAGCCGGGCAGAGACACAACCAAAAAAGAGAATTTTAGACCAATATCCTTGATGAACATTGATGCAAAAATCCTCAATAAAATACTGGCAAACCGAATCCAGCAGCACATCAAAAAGCTTATCCACCATGATCAAGTGGGCTTCATCCCTGGGATGCAAGGCTGGTTCAATATATGCAAATCAATAAATGTAATCCAGCATATAAACAGAACCAAAGACAAAAACCACATGATTATCTCAATAGATGCAGAAAAGGCCTTTGACAAAATTCAACAACCCTTCATGCTAAAAACTCTCAATAAATTAGGTATTGATGGGACGTATTTCAAAATAATAAGAGCTATCTATGACAAACCCACAGCCAATATCATACTGACTGGGCAAAAACTGGAAGCATTCCCTTTGAAGACTGGCACAAGACAGGGATGCCCTCTCTCACCACTCCTATTCAACATAGTGTTGGAAGTTCTGGCCCAGGCAATTAGGCAGAAGGAAATAAAGGGTATTCAATTAGGAAAAGAGGAAGTCAAACTGTCCCTGTTTGCAGATGACATGATTGTATATCTAGAAAACCCCATTGTCTCAGCCCAAAATCTCCTTAAGCTGATAAGCAACTTCAGCAAAGTCTCAGGATACAAAATCAATGTACAAAAATCACAAGCATTCTTATACACCAACAGACAAACAGAGAGCCAAATCATGAGTGAACTCCCATTCACAATTGCTTCAAAGAGAATAAAATACCTAGGAATCCAACTTACAAGGGATGTGAAGTACCTCTTCAAGGAGAACTACAAACCACTGCTCAAGGAAATAAACGAGGATACAAACAAATGGAAGAACATTCCATGCTCATGGGTAGGAAGAATCAATATCATGAAAATGGCCATACTGCCCAAGGTAATTTACAGATTCAATGCCATCCCCATCAAGCTACCAATGACTTTCTTCGCAGAATTGGCAAAAACTACTTTAAAGTTCATATGGCACCAAAAAAGAGCCCGCGTCGCCAAATCAATCCTGAGCCAAAAGAACAAAGCTGGAGGCATCACACTACCTGACTTCAAACTATACTACAAGGCTACGGTAACCAAAACAGCATGGTACTGGTACCAAAACAGAGATATAGATCAATGGAACAGAACAGAGCCCTCAGAAATAACGCCACATATCTACAACTATCTGATCTTTGACAAACCTCAGAAAAACAAGCAATGGGGAAAGGATTCCCTATTTAATAAATGGTGCTGGGAAAACTGGCTAGCCATATGTAGAAAGCTGAAACTGGATCCCTTCCTTACACCTTATACAAAAATCAATTCAAGATGGATTAAAGACTTAAACGTTAGACCTAAAACCATAAAAATCCTAGAAGAAAACCTAGGCATTACCATTCAGGACATAGGCATGGGCAAGGACTTCATGTCTAAAACACCAAAAGCAATGGCAACAAAAGACAAAATTGACAAATGGGATCTAATTAAACTAAAGAGCTTCTGCACAGCAAAAGAAACTACCATCAGAGTGAACAGGCAACCTACAAAATGGGAGAAAATTTTCACAACCTACTCATCTGACAAAGGGCTAATATCCAGAATCTACAATGAACTCAAACAAATTTACAAGAAAAAAACAACCCCATCAAAAAGTGGGCGAAGGACATGAACAGACACTTCTCAAAAGAAGACATTTATGCAGCCAAAAAACACATGAAAAAATGCTCACCATCACTGGCCATCAGAGACATGCAAATCAAAACCACAATGAGATACCATCTCACACCAGTTAGAATGGCAATCATTAAAAAGTCAGGAAACAACAGGTGCTGGAGAGGATGTGGAGAAATAGGAACACTTTTACACTGTTGGTGGGACTGTAAACTAGTTCAACCATTGTGGAAGTCAGTGTGGCGATTCCTCAGGGATCTAGAACTAGAAATACCATTTGACCCAGCCATCCCATTACTGGGTATATACCCAAACGACTATAAATCATGCTGCTATAAAGACACATGCACACGTATGTTTATTGCGGCATTATTCACAATAGCAAAGACTTGGAACCAACCCAAATGTCCAACAATGATAGACTGGATTAAGAAAATGTGGCACATATACACCATGGAATACTATGCAGCCATAAAAAATGATGAGTTCATGTCCTTTGTAGGGACATGGATGAAATTGGAAATCATCATTCTCAGTAAACTATTGCAAGAACAAAAAACCAAACACCGCATATTCTCACTCATAGGTGGGAATTGAACAATGAGAACACATGGACACAGGAAGGGGAACATCACACTCTGGGGACTGTTGTGGGTTGGGGGAGCGGGGAGGGACAGCATTGGGAGATATACCTAATGCTAGATGACGAGTTAGTGGGTGCAGCGCACCAGCATGGCACATGTATACATATGTAACTAACCTGCACATTGTGCACATGTACCCTAAAACTTAAAGTATAATAATAATAATAATAATAAAATAAATAAATTTAAAAAAATTGAATTTCCTAAACATTATAGTGAATGTTTCTAATAATTTGCAAACAACAGGTCAATAGAAATAAAAATGAATTTTTAAAGTAATATATTATTTTTTACTTAAATCATTTATCTTTTGCAGTTATCCTGACTTTATTAGACATGAGATTTATAAATAAACCTTGAGAACCTAAGGCTAGGTTTTTTTGGAACTGCCAATATGATCAGTTTTATGATTAGTTTTGTGATTATGATTAGTCTTCTGATAATAGTTTTATGATCAGTTTTATGATTAGTTTTATATCCTAACGTACAAAGATTAATATATGCAGTGGTCTTTGCTGAGTAATAATATTGAAATAACTTTGATATTATTAAATTTTTGATATATACATAATTTTTGCCAAGGGAAGATATTTACATTTTTTAATACTTTTAGAACTCTCTTATACAATAATTACAATAACATTCCAACAAACTTAGTAAGTGTTTCTTTGGCAATATCTTTGAAGTATAATATTGGTCTTACCCTTGAATGAATATTTGAGCTACTATTATGTAGTATAGTTTTTCTGTGAGTCTAAGTTATACATTCTCTGAGGGTTGATACTGTGTCTGATCCAGATTTGTTTGTATCATGCACAATGTCTTACCCCTAAGAGACACTCAAGATATATTTGTTGAATGAATAAATGAAGGGGCTGAATCAACTTTACTCCAAATAAATACATTGCTCCTTTAAAAAAAAAAAGTTTTATAATACTCTTTAGTGAATTTCATGAAGTGTTCAAAAGCATGACCTCTTACTTTTTGAGATTTCCTGGCTATGTTCCTTTCCCATATGTTTATTCTGACCATTTCAATTTATTTGCCCCTATGATCCCTGTTTTGATCAATTTGGATTCTACTCCCAAAAGAATCATCTGATTGGGGAATTTTCCTGGAAGGAGATTTGGCTGATTATTTTGAGAGTTCATAGAGCAGAATACTCCAAATTTCAGAAAGTCTGGTAAACACTGTACTCAATCACCAGTTGGATCCTTCAAAACCTCCTACAAGTTTCCGCTGCTATTCTTCGATTAGCTTGTCACACTTTGCAGAGTAGCTGTTGGCAATTTTGAGTTTCCTGTCAGGGTCTATCAGAGGTTCTGTTGCTTCTCTTCACTTCTTCCTGCATATATGCATATACAAGACAGGTCTTTTAGCTGATTTGTCACCATGCACTTTTATTTGGGGGAGTCATAGTGATGTTATATTACCTAGTTTTGATGTAGTTGGTGAGTGTGAGGTTCTTTTATTAAAATTATTTTTTAAAATTCTGTCTTTTTATAAGGGGTAGGGAGTTGCAGAGATTAAAAACCATGATATCACTGTATTCTCAGAATTCCCCAAGTAACTTTTTCAGCCCCATGTGTTGTCAAATTTTCAGAATTCCAGTCAACATAAATTTCTTGTCTCAAGCAGAAAGAACTTCCTTAATCTGAGCAAACTTGATGGATGAAACCCACGTACATCTCTCTCATGTGAGCCAATTATATTAAAATTTTTAAATGTCCTACCCATTTTCCTTAATGCCACATCCTTGATTAGTATGTAATCTGTTTACAATAACTCACTAGAAACATGTTTACAAATATTTTTCCATGTAATAACTCTAGTCCACCAGCTTTCCAGCCTGTAATATCTGTGTCCTTTCTGCCTGTTACCAGGTTACTGGCCTGAAGTCCCATACTGTGACTCCTCCTAGATGCAATCCCATTCTTGGTACTAAGTCAGTTTTTGTTAAAAAGAAGTTTCAATGTTGCAGCATGAAGGAAAGTGTGTAGGAAATTTTGAGATCCATCTATATAGGAGAGGAAGATCAACTATATTTGAAAACTAGTTCCAACATTAACAAGCCCTGTGATTAAGTTAACAAAAAAGATAATATAACAACTCATAGTTGTTATATTATACAACTATGACAAGTATATTATCTAATATGACAAGCATATTATCTAACATATATAAAGTCATTAGTATGAAGTCTTACATTATTCCATGAAACACACAATTAATACAAATGATAATAATTACTATGTGACATATGACATCTGAAGATTCAGACTGTGTTGTTAGGAGTATTTTATGAGGGATATTCAATAGTTAATTAATTTTAAGTATGCTATCTCTGATGATCTGTTTATTCACTAACTTACAAACTTCATCCATATTTTGTAATCTCACAAAGATTACTTAAATGCTCTCATATTATTTGCTCTTCAGATTCGGGCTATGTTCTTTGCCAAAAGAACTATTGTCATATATTGACCTTTTCTGCTAACTGACGTGTTTACATAGTAATATTATTAACAGGAATATCTCTGCAAACAAATGGCAATGATCTTATGTTAATGGCCAGGTGAATGCTTTCTGAATACAGAAAAATTTAGGGGTTTTCGAAGGCAAATGAAACATAAGTATTTTGGCAAAATGATATTTAGTTATGTGGGGTTATGCAAAAATAAAGAAAATGATGACTGTACTTTTTCTAAAACTCATAGAGAAGCTTTTCTGTTTCTTCTTCAAACTGAAATTAAAAAATCAAGAATTAATGCTAAGTAATTAATATGTACTCAGATTTGGGCTAAAATATACATTTTCCAAACAACCAATTAAAATATTCCACAATCATTTAGTTGTTTTTGAAATATGTTGTTAGTTATTTATTGACCAGCAAGTCATATTTCTATATCATAGCTCAAAATGTAAGTTAATCAGAACCTTTAGCAATAATTCAATGTTTTGTGTACATTTTTAACGTGGAAAATTGCTAGAACAAACAAATCATCTCTATAGTAAGCTACAAGCATAATAGATTAGATATATATACACTGAGGAGACCTGTTATGCTCTTGACAGAATTTGTGAAATGGCCAAACAGTACAATTCTCTGGTTGGTCTCCCCATACTTTTGCTCAGGAAAAGTCAAAGAATCCATGCTTTAGGGAATTGGGAGATAAAATTTCAGCCTATAACTGCTATAAGAACAGCAGTTATTCTTTCTGTCAAAAGCTGGGAAGATATAAAATCCCCTCACTGCTAATGCTCAAGACAGACTGTAGAGATGACTAACTATACTGAGAGCCAAGAGAACAGAATGAAAAAGTGTACTCAAGACAGAGTGAGTGGCCGGGCGCGGTGGCTCACGCCTGTAATCCCAGCACTTTGGGAGGCCGAGGCGGGCGGATCACGAGGTCAGGAGATCGAGACCACGGTGAAACCCCGTCTCTACTAAAAATACAAAAAATTAGCCGGGCGCAGTGGCGGGCGCCTGTAGTCCCAGCTACTCGGGAGGCTGAGGCAGGAGAATGGCGTGAACCCGGAAGGCTGAGCTTGCAGAGAGCGGAGATCGCGCCACAACACTCCCGCCTGGGCGACAGAACGAGACTCCGTCTCAAAAAAAAAAAAAAAAAAAAAGACAGAGTGAGCAAGGAATCAGCAGAGTCTCAAAAGTAATTAAAAGAACCTCTTCCCAGAAGTAATGAAATTAGGAAGAACCAATGGTTTATAGTGTCGATTATTGGCAGACACTGCACTTGACATTCATTAATTCATTTAATTCTCACACAAGACACCTCAAAGTTGGTATTATTCTTGTCATTTGCTGACAAGAAAACTAAGAGGTCAGAATTTAGTGACTTGTTTTCTTAATTTGTTTATTTTGCTATAACAGAATACCTGTACCTGGTTTGTAATGAACAGAAATTTATTTGGCTCACGGTCTGGAGGCTGGGAAGTCTAAAACTGAGGGGCTGCATCTGGTGAGGGGTGTCTTGCTGTGTCATCCCATGGTGGAAGAGCAAAGAGATCTTAGCAAACTAAGAGACTGAATTTGCAGACCCAGGCTCTTTTAAAATTGGCATTAATCCATTCACGAAGGTAGAGCCCTCATGACCTAAACACCTTCTGTTAAGCTCCACCTCCCAACACTGATACATCGGGGATTAAGTTTCCAACACATGCTTTTTGGAGGACACATTCAAACGACAGCACTTGTAGCAGAGCTGGTATTTGAACCCAGGTCTTTCTATATTGGGTACAAATATAAAAAGTGATGTGACACCAATTCAATTACTATTGAACGTTCTTGGAAAGAAGTACATTTTGTCTGAACCATGCCAGGATGCCAAATGATCATTTTCACTTGAAAATTGAGTTTTTGTTTAATCTGGCGACCTTTTGATAAATATTATAATTTTTAATAAAACAATATTTCAACAAAGTTTCAAGATCATTAACTAGGCCACAAAAATTCATTTGCCCCAAAACACAAATTAAACAGATCGTATTCAATAATTATAGTAAAATTATTAATAAGAAACTGACAAAAGAAAAAATATATAGAAATTTAAGCTCTCCTGAATAATACTGTATCAAAGAAAAATCTAAAATAATGTTAGATTTTATAGAATATAAAGAAAATAATACCACTATCCATTAACTGTCCATTTTATTCCTTAATGCTCCTTAAACAAGTATCAGGAGAAAGACATATTAATTGAGCCAAAAGTTAGGGAAGTTTAAAAAAATAGAAATTAGTAAAGATAATAGTATGAGTCAATAAATCAAAATACAGAGTAGTAGAAAAAATAATAAATTAAATTCCAGTAGCATGAAAGAACTGCAGACAGAATTCTGAAAACTATAATTCAGGAGTACTAGAACTCACCCAGATACACAAAATAAGGAATAATAGGGTAAAATAACAAGACAAAATTTGTAAAAAAGCTTTGTCACTATTTTAAAATATCAGTGAAATGTTTATTTTCTTTATTGAAAAGTAAAAATTCTAATTAAAAAAACTTGAAAGACAATTTAAAATTTACTAAGTAAATACTCAGACACTTTAATGGATAGTTATTTCAAACTCTCAAGGAATAGTTTTCTTCCATGTATTCTGTTCTCAAGTTAATGGGTGTAGAATAAGTAAATGTACACTTTAAAATTAAATAAATGTTAAAAATCAATAAAGGATAATTAGCTAATTTATTTTATGTAGTAAATACAATTCTGACATGAAAGTATGATATGTCTGATCACCCCCCACCCCACAAAATTATACACCAATTCTTAATATAAATATAGAATTAATGTCAGGCACAGTAGCTCATGCCTGTAATCCCAGAGCTTTGGGAGGCCAAGGCAGGAGGATGACTTGAAGCCAGAAGTTCGAGACTAGCCTGGGCCACATAGTGGGACACCCTCACATCTCTACAAAAAACGTTTCTGAAGAAAAGAACTAACCAGTCACAGCAGCATGTGCCTACAGTCTCTGCTACATTGGAGGCTGAGATAGGAGGATAACTTGAGCCCAAGTGTCCAAGGCTGCAGTTAGCTATGACTGGGCAAAGACACTCCAGCCTGGGCAACAGAATGAGACCCTGTCACAAAAATTAAAAAAAAAAAAAAAAAAAAAAAAATATATATATATATATATATATATATATATAGATGTAGGTTTTCTATTAAAAATGATTACTTCATTATATATTTATAGGTTTTCTATTCAAAAGTATTACTTCATTTTATATATAATATATAATAGAAGATATTATATAGTATATATCTAAAATAAATGTAAATAAAATATATATAATGTAATAGTTAATAGTTATGACTATAATATAAATATAATATAAACATATTTATTTATATTTATTTAATATATAGTTATATTTATAGTTTATATATAGTTATGTTTAATATATCAGTATATTTATAGTTTGTATATAGTTATAACTATAATATAAATATAATATAAATATAATGTAAGTTTTCTGCAGAAAACCTACAAACTAAATTCTACACAGTATGTATACAAAAGAATTCTCCAAATAGGGAGTGGAAAGGCGCTTACCCTTATCAGATACTAGAATATTGCCATGGTTTAAATATTTGTCCCGTCTAAAATTTAATCCCCATTGTGGCAGTATTGAGAGGTAGGGACTTTAAGAGGTGTTTGGCTTATGAGGGCTCTGTTCTCATAAGTGTATTAATCTATTCATAGGAGTGCAAGGATGGCTTATTTTGGAAAATCTATTATGTTACAAGGGGTGATAAGCAATGTCTTACCAGAGACAGGATAGTGGGAGCCATCAGCCCTGGCTATAATTACAAAAGGATACACTGTTGTAGAGCATTTTAAAACCACAATAAAATTAATAAAAGTCCTTCTGCTTTTTATTATAATCATGTACTTTCAATTCTATATAATGTCAGAGATAAAACACTCCTCCTAGACAAAACATGTTTGTTGCTCTAAATTCTAAACAATGGCCTGTACCCAGGCCAGACAGCTCCCACTGCATGCCCTTGATACACCACTGCTCATGGGTAAAATTCAACCAAAGCAAACCAAAACACATGTGAATATGAATTAAAGGCCACAGGCTTTTAATAAAATTTAACATCTCTTGCTGACTGTTTTTTTGGTAAAACTAGATATGGCAAGATAACTCAATATGATAAACATTGCAATCTTAAATTTTTATCATAATTGAAAGTTTTAGAAGTATTTCATTAAAATAATTAATAAAGCAATGATCCTTATTAATAGACTTATTATTTTTACATTCTTAAAATTCTGAAAATTACAATGAAATATGAAGTAGAAATTAGCTATGTAGTGATAGGAAATAGACAAATTGTTGTTAATAGATTATATAATTATTAAACCCAGAAAAATGATGGAAAAAATCACTTAAAGTTATTAAGCATTTAATACATGCACTGAACAAGTGAAAAAAATGCTTTGTTTTCCTATGTCTTATAAATTTTGATCTATAAACTGATGAAAAAATAAAAGATCAAATCACAACAGAAATAAAATTCTTAGGTATTTCTATAACAAAAAGAACATGATAATTACATGAAGGAAAGATAATATTTTCTAGAGAATTATGATAATTTTAAAATGTAAACATGCCAGACTAGTAGATATAAAGATGGAATATCTGAAATATTTTTATTATTTTAATTTAATGCATACTTTTAAAGACAACCAAATAAAAGTTCCAGTAGAACTTCTTTAACTTGACTAAAATCTTACATTTCCTGGAGGAAGAATAAAAAAATAAGTAAAATTAAAAAAATAATAATTTCATAAAGGGAGAGGAAGGGTGCTTGTCCTATCAGATATTAGAATATTGTCATGGTTTGAAAGTTTGTCCCCTCCAAAACTTAATCACGAATGTGGCAGTGTTGAGAGGTAGGGACTTTAAGAGGGGATTGGGTTATGAGGGCTTTGTTCTCATGAATGAATTAATCTATTCCTAGGTAGATTAATAAACCAGTGGGCTAACGGATTAATAAGTTATCGTGGTAAGGGGACTGGTGGCTTAATGAAAGGAAGTAAGACCTGAGCTAGCACACTCAGCCCCCTCACCATGGATAACTTCTTCTGCCTTGGGAATCTGCAGCGTCTCCCCCAGCAAGAAGGCCCCCACCAAATGCAGCCCCTCCTGCTTTACTCCTCAGCCTCTATAACTGTAAGAAAGAAACTTCTTTTCTTTATGAATTTCAAAGTTGCAGGTATTCTGTTATAAGCAACAGAAAATGAACTAAGAAATGCATACTATATAACCTGAATAAATAAGAGTATGATATTAATGTTAGAATTAATTGACAATAAAAATCAATAGACACACATGACATGGACTAACACTAATACTTGAGAACTCAGAATGTGGATGAGCTTGGAGGACATTGTTAAGCAAAATAACTTAGGCACATAAAGACAAATACCATGTATTCTCATTCACATGTGGAAGCTAAAAAATGTGATCTCATACCAGTAGAGTGTAGTAGTGGTTACTAGAGGAAGGGAAGGATGTGGGAACTATGTAGTAAGAGGTTGGTTAACCAATACAAAAGTACAGCTAGACAGGAAGAATAGGTTAAGTGTTCTATCACACAATAGGCTGACTACAGTTAACAACTTATTGTATATTTTCAAATAGCTAGACGAGTGGATTTTAAATGTTCCCAACACAAAGAAACGATAAATGTTTGAAATGATGGATGTGATAATCACCCTGATGTAATCATTACACCTTGTAAACAGGTACCAAAATCTCACACCTTACCCCATAAATATGTTCAATTTATGCGTAATTAAAAATAATAATAAGACCAGGCACAGTGGCCCACGCCTGTAATCCCAGTGCTTTGGGTGGCTAAGGCAGGAGGATCATGTGAGCTCAGGAGTTGGAGGCTGCAGTGAACCATGATCTTTCCTTTTCATTGTACTCCAGCCTG
Organism: Homo sapiens; assembly: GCF_000001405.40. Classification (NCBI taxonomy): domain Eukaryota; kingdom Metazoa; phylum Chordata; class Mammalia; order Primates; family Hominidae; genus Homo; species Homo sapiens. The sequence continues at coordinate 74,550,677 of NC_000013.11, forward strand.
GGGGACAGAGTGAGAACCTGTCTAAAAAAAAAAAAAAAAAAAAAAAAAAAAAAAAAAAAAAAGATAACTAAAAAGATAACTGGGTAGGAAAGTAAATGTAATTGGATAGGCTACTGGGTGGGGAATTTAATTTCTTGCACTGGACAGTAGGTATCCACAAATACTTGTTTATTTATTCCTTGTAACCCTAACTATGTCTGAAGTATTTATTTTATTGTTATTTTTCTACTCCTGTGACAGATTATGAAATGTTTTATTTTTAAAAGGACCAATGGGTAAAGGGGGATATTTAACAAATTAGGAAAATTTGTCTTTTGGAAGAAAACACAAATTAGAGTTTTCTTTGCATAGAGATTTCTAGATATTACCAATATTTCCAATATTCCTCCTTTCTGTGGACATACTATGTTTTGCAGAGCTACATTTATCTTTCTGATCAATGGGCTCTGATAAATTAATTAGGAGCCAGTGAATGATTGTCCATGCTCTTTCCTCTGTTGCAGACACCTGTGTCTAGAAAGACGGAACGCCAAGTTTTGCAGCGGGAACTCATTTGGTAAGACTGTCCCCTCTGATAATGTGCGAGGCAGAATGTGTACCCAATGAATGTGTGTCTCTAGTGTGAGATCTCGCAAAGCAGGTATTTATCTGTGCTGGTCGCTATGGGCTGTATTTGATAAGGAATTATAAGAAAAACAGTTCTGAAAAGTATTATCTGTTTGCCAGCAAGAATGAAAGGAAATAGTTCAGATATTTGGGGTCTTGAATGAGTTAAACCAGTAATTGCTTTCAATCCTAAATGGTAAAAGAGAAAATGTTAAAAGACTTTAAAATTGAGCTGGTTCAAAAACAAACAAACAAACAACAACAACAAAAATAAATAATAGATTTAAACTGAACTTTTACTTATAAAAAGGAATTAATGAGATAAAAATGCCTTAGGGTAAAGATCAAACTAAGGGCCTGAGGCCCAGTAATCTTTTCAATCGGAAAAATAGCTCAGGTAAAAGAGCTTAAGGGTTCCATTCTCTCATCAAATCCAGATAGACTCAGGAAAACTACCAGGTCTTCAAGCAGGGAGAGGTACAGGCACAAGAGTGTAAAGAAATACGGATGAAGTAAGAAGTGTGTTAGGTAAAGAATCGTAGCTGTAATTATTGGCACATGGAATTAATTGGAATCCAATAGCTTAGAAAAACCAACAAAGTTTTAAGAGAGTTGTATTGCTTAAGAAACTGTGAGCCTGCACTAAAAGTGTTTGAGACTCTAAAACAAGGTGTCCAATCTTTTGGCTTCCCTGGGCCACACTGGAAGAAGAATTGTCTAACTAACTAACACTAGTGATAGGTGATAAGCAAAACCAAAAACCAAAAAACAAACAAAAACCAAAAAAAAAAAAAAAAACCTCAAAATGTTTTAAGAAAGTTTACAAATTTGTGTTAGGCTGCATTCAAAGCTGCCCTGGGCGGCTTGCTAAAACACCTCTCGGGCCCTGGGTAGGAAGTAGGCTAAGAAAACTTCATATTCTCTAGTATCTATTTTATATGAGCCCAAGAAGGGAGAAAGGAAAGGACAAATATCTCCCTGAGGGTGGAGACAGAAGACACAGAGAACAAGAACCAAGTTGAATCCTCCAGGAGAGCAGAGTCCGGGCCTCGTGAAGGTAGGGGGCTCAAAAAACGTCTGCCTGGAAGGACAGAATTTTTCAGCAACAGGGACTCCTGTTTCCTTTTTCAATTACGAGATGTGTAAGTGCCAGATAACTTGTCATTTTAGTTGCTAGGTTTCCAAAGCTATGGGAGCTACCTATAGACTTGACATAGAGAGTACAGTATGCAGTAGGCCCTTTGTATCCAAGGATTCAACCAACTGTGGATGGAAAATATTTTTTAAAAACCCAATAAAAACAATATAACAATAAAAACTAATGTAAATAAAACAATATAGTATTAACTATTTACATAGTATTTACATTGTATTAGGTGTTGAAAGTTATATAAAGAGGATTTAAAGTATATGGAAGGATATGTATAAGTTATGTGCAAATACTGCACCATTTTATATCAGCGATTTGAGCATCTGTGGATTTGATATCTATGCGGGTCCTGGAACCAAGCCCCCATGGATACGGAAGGACAATTCTATCACTCAGAGATTCTGAATTCTGGACTTTGAGCTCAATGCCATGACTGAGGAAGACCACGGGGTTTTCTCTCTTAGAGGGGAGGTGAGTATAATTGTCATACATATCTATACCAGAGGGAGACTGCACTGAATATTTGGAGAAACAAAAGGGTAAATTGTGGCAGATACTACCAGTCCTTAGCAATATTTCCAGTTCTCCTTTTTCACTCCTCTAGTCAGTAGGCCGTAGCTAGATGACTGGTCCCGTAGCCCGGCTGTGTCTATCAGGAGGCAATGCATGATTTCCCAGCCCAAAGTACATGAGAGATGATGGACCCATTTCCCACATTCTCCTCCTCTTCCACAGTGAACCCAGAGCTTTGAGTTGAGATGGGGGTGCCATAAGATTGAAGTACTCTGAAAAACAGAGCTTAAAGGCTTTTAACAGGTGAAAGTGCGGTCCAAATTCTTAATTTGTTTTTGTTGTTGTTGTTGTTGTTGTTGTGGAGGGCATCTATCCAAAAGCTTTCAGGACACACATGAACTTTACACGAGCAAGGAAAAAAATGTGTGCTCAGATACTGAGATGTTAGTGTTTTTGATAATATAGCCTGATCTCATACATACATTTATCTTAGACCATTCTATGCTAAATACATACATTCACACAGACAAACATATGTGCATACATATCTAATGGATTAGTTAAAAGAAAATACATTTCAACTTTTAAACCCAGAAAATGTAAGTAAATATTTAACTTATCTCAAGTGAAGACTTTACACATAATGTCGTGAAAACAACACAAGTGAAAAAGTAGATCTGACTACTTGCAAATAACACTTTTGAACATCAGAAATATCAACAACTTAATGAAAATTAATGACATGCTGGGGGAAAACATTTTTGCAATAGAGGGTTTATGTCCTAATATATAAGAGGCTCTTAAAAATGAGTATCTTAAAATATCAGCATCACACACACACACACACACACACACACACACACACAGACAAAGAATATAAACATAATTCTTCCAATTTATAAAAACAGAAATACAGACAGATATCTTCCAAAGCCATCAGAATTTGAACCAGTGATGAGGAGCACATTTGCTTTCCTGCCCAATTAACAGTCATAGAAGATCACCTGAACTGCCCCTGGGGTGTGGATATGCACCCTGAAAATATTTGGCATACCAGAGCATAGTTGGATGTGTATATACATAATTGTGAAAATAAATTGTTTTAGATTTTAATATTTTTCCTTGTGTCTAACTTTCTTTAAGCACCAACAATTTTTAAAAATATAAAAATATTATAAATATTTGTGTGAGGCAAGAGGAATATTGTTGGGTCTTCTAGTTACAAACCATAGGATCTTAGAGATAACAATGAACATTCCCAAAAGCTCCCATTTAGGAAGTTTTTGGTTGATGGCATGACCCTTGAAGGGATCTGACTTCCTGAGAGAGTGACTCATAAATAATTACTCCTTTTTATGATACAAATATTTTTGAAGAACAGCTAAAGTCTTCATTAAAAAAGCATTATGCTCCTATGAGATTTCCCCATGCCTAAGATTAATATCACAGTTGAGGAGACCTGAGTATTTTTTGTTACCTTACAATTGTACATAAATAATTATTTTATGCAGTGCCATAGGTTAAATGCATATCATGAAATTCACTTTCCTCCCGATTGCCATTTATGTCACTTAATTCAATGAAAGTCCACAAAAATACAGTATGACTCAGAATATTGGAGCTGTGGCTAAGCAAGAAAAGTTCATTCAAAATTGATTTTCTTTCAGGAATCCTTGATATTCTTCATTCCAATTGTTCACCTCTACTGTAGGGCTCAGTAAACACTTAAGGAAGTTGCCGTGCACTGCAGCCTGCCGGAGACATGAAGGAATGTACGGGAGGATAATCGCAACATCATCAACCCAATTCTCCAAGGTAGCTGGCCAATAATGCTGTTCTAATTGAATAACTTATCCACAGCTATTTCCCCTGGGAAAGCCGAAGGCTCAGCCTCGGCAAAGAGGCAGATGGTGCCGCATATACAATGAAACCTGTAATTTTTTCTTGCCATTGGACATGTTAACAGTGGGCTGTTTCTGCTTATTCCTTAGTATTTTATTTTAATAGTCCCTTCCCAAATTACAATGTACAATAAAGCAGCCAAAGACGGATTCAGTGATACATATCATATTTAATTTATCATTCCTCTAGCTCACTGAACAACTCACTTGGTAGTCAGCAGCAGTATATGTCAGGGACAGGTGCAAGCTGAAAAGAAAGCAACAGAAAAGGACCCAATGAAAACCAAAAGGGGAGATGAGTCTTCAGGGTGGCATGGCATTCACTAGCAGCAAAGTGTGCAATGTCAAACACATTCTAATTCTGATTTTTTTTAACAGTAATTTGCCATGGGACAGGCACACCCCATGTGTTTGGGAAGACAATGGGAAGGTTCTGTTTTCTGCTCCAAGACTGATTCAACCAGTTGGATCTGGAAGGGGATAAAGGGCTGTGTGGCTGCTTGATTTTCATTGTCTAGTGGCAGCCAAAATTGGAAAAGAGAGAAGTGCAGACTTTAAAGACAAGCAGCGACAGCTCATCAGCAGTCTAACAACACGACAGATGACAGGCCCAGAGGCACACCCAGGGCCGCCAGCCCATCACCCTGTGCAGGATGTCAAAGAGCAGCTGCAGCAAAGGAAGAAGATCATCCAGACTTAAATGTTTGGGCCTTGCTAAGACCATAGAGTCTTTGTGCTTTGGAAACAGTCCTCCATACAAAGACCCCTTCCTAGAAAAGAGTGGAAAGAAACCAAGGTGGAATGGATACAACAGAAAGGAGACCATGCTAATATTCTTGTGCAATGCTTCCTGGGCAGAAATTATGTCATAAAGGATGTTCCATTCTGCAAAGCTATGTGTCTCTCTGTGGTTTGCCTCAGAGGAGGGGCCTTTCATAGCTGTAGTGAGTAAGGGGGCCCTTGCTGATGTTCATCAGATATGCCAAGGCACAGGAAGAAAGCATTGAGGTCACAGGGCAGCTCAGGTCCGCCTGTGGTAATTGAAAACAGGTGACGAGATTGGGTTGATTTTATTTTGGAAAAGTAAATTAGTGCTGCACCACTCGGACATGGCTAATTCATGAAGCCTCTGGTTTGTATTAGACACCCAACATGCCTTTCAGAAAGAAATGACACAACAATTAATGTGTCAAATAATAATGTGCCACTCGGAGAAAGATAATTGTACCCATCGTCAGGTAGTTATTAGGTCGAACGAATGCTCATCCTTTCAAAGGCAACAGCGTCTATTCATTCTGGCATCCTACTGTAAGTACAGTATTGTGTTCATAATCACACAGACTGAAGCCAGGAACACTGGGTTTTATCTGATTTTTCTCCATTTGGAATTGTACTCCGATGATTCCCTAAACAGCAAACTCAGTCATGTGAAACACAAATGAGTGTGATGAAAGACAGATTGTTATACTGCAGGAGAGGCTTTCTGTGCTTTTCACATAATATAGAGCATGAGGACTGTTCCCAAGAAGGTTTAAGCATATGTAACAAAAACTACCAGACCTGAATTTGCTCATGTGTAAATGATAGTCTTTCCTTCTGGTGATTTAATGCATGAGGACATCAATCAGTCACATCATGGCCTCAGAAGTCCTTGTTCAATTTCTGATGCCATAACTTACTCGATGTGGGATTTGGACAAGTCATTTAACTTCACTGCAATTCTGTTTCCCTCATTTGAAAAATAGAAATAGAAAAGCCTGCTGTATATTTAGGTCCACATCTGTTGGGGAGGTCAAAGAAGAAAGAATATGAAAAGTTGTTTGTAAATATAAAGAACCATGTAAATATAAGACATTGTTTTATTAATGCTCCAGATCAATTAACTTTCAGTGAATGATAAAATGTGACATCTTTTCAACAGAGACAGTTTTACTTAAGAAAAACTAGGCAATGGCTTCTGTCCTTACAAATGAAAAACTTCATAATAAATGGGGGCTCTCAAGACCACCTGGCCAAAACTGAACTAAATACTCACTTCATTCAACCAAGAATGAGGAACTGAAATACATGATTATTATATATGCATATGCTTCTGTTTCATCTACTTGGGCATGCTTGTGATGAGATATGAAAAATTAGCCATCTTTAGAAGGAAAGAAATATTGTATTTGGGGGTATTTCTTCTGTACAGACAATTGGCCTGGTTATTGTCTAAAGGTATTTAAAATTAATAAAATGCAATTTTATGCTACATAAAATACTCAAAGCAACCATATTTCAAGGTATGGCTTCTATACCTTGTCCTCCCCTGAAGATGCATTCTCAACCGATATCTTGACTATATGGACAACAAATCGTAAAAGAAAAATGTATAGTGTGGTGTTTGACGTTGAGTAGCTTATGATAGACATTCATACCTGTAAAGAGATCTCGTTAGGGGAAACAAACTAATATATAACAAACAGATAATTAAAGTAAGCAGTACTGAGACAGAGAAGAGTTGGTGACTTAGCCTGTTGAAGATAGACACTTTGCTAATTAGGATTAAAAAATATAGGCATATCTGCTCTAATATCATATAAATATTGCCAAAAAACTCTTGTATTCTGTAAAAGAATACCTAAAAACAAACAGAGCTGACAGGCAAAATAAGATTGGCGGTGTGAGCCCCACTTGAAATCTTTTTATAATTCTATCTTGAAAGTATTATTCCATTATATCCATCTTTAGATAATTAATTGAAGTAAATCACTAAGTCCGGTCCACTTCAAGAAGAAAGGGATTAAGAGAGAATTTGGGGGCTATCTTTGAAGCCATCACAGGCTATCTCTTAGAGGTAAAGGAGTGTTTAAGGAAGAAAAGACAACATAAATGGAGAGGCCCAAGAGTTGGTTCTCGGGATCATTAGATAATGGCAGCCACAGAGAGAGGCAGTGGCAATAATAATGAACAATCCAGCATAAGCCCTGTCCTCTCTTCCTGGAGGACAGAGAGAGGTGTTGGCAGTGGTCTTAGGTTTTAAGTGTGAAAATAAGTAATTCAAAATCTAAGCTGTTGGAATTATAAATTATTTTGAGCCTTAAAGGAATGTGATTACAAGGCCTGAGTTACATGGCAGGCAGCTGCAACCTAAGCAACTGTAATCTGTGTTCCTCTGATTATAGATTAGCCTTCTTCCTTACCTACACTGTTTTGTAAAATGCTGTAAATGACTAAAGGGCACCAGGGAAGCCTCCTTCCCTCTTCACCCTTGATCTCCATTATAGATTAACTTCCCTCTTACCTTTCTCACACAAAGAACTCATGGCTATCACATTGTCTTAAGATGAAATGTTAAATACACTTTTACAGTGGAAAGAACATGAAAGCCAACCCTACGGAAAAGAAAACAACCTAATTAAATTGTTGTAACTCATAAACCAGCCTTGTACATAAAATGTTATAATCTTACTAAACTTCTTTGTTTTCTGCCTATATAAACAAGAACTTAACTTTTGTCTTTGGGGCACTGACCTCATTTATCTGAAGTCTGTGTCTCCTGGATGGCAATTCCCAGGTTTTCACTCAAATAAGCTTTAAAACTGGATTCTAATCCTTTTGATTATTTCAGGTTGACAGAAGCAACTTGGGAGATGGGGTGGCAGGTCAGAGTCTCTTGAATTGTTTGGTAATTCCTGGCATAATTCTAAGGTATAAGCCAGCTGCTGTTTTGTCAAGTTATTCCCTGGAAAATGATCATTGTATTAAATACATGTACCATTTTAAAATACCAAATAATGATACGAAGGATGATTTTCTTAGGCCTGATCATCTCTTTCAGGCTTTGTGGTACTCATGCTTGCCATGAAAAACTATCCTAGAGAGTTATCCACTGTCCTGAGGTCCCTACATCATGTCTTCCTCCCAAGAATCATCCCCTATCCCGTGAGGTTTTCACATTTCCTCCTACTCCTGGGGAGATCTTTGTAATATTCTGATCTCTTATTTCACCTCCACTGATTTTTATTTCCTCCACAGTACCTTCATACATTTTCATAGGGCCATGGTCATATATATTGTATATGAGTAATTCTTGGGATAATACCAAGTCCAGGGCCCTACCCCAGACAATTAATTCAGAATCTCTGATTATTCTAACGGGCAGCTAGAATTGAGAAACCCTAATCTCCGAAATCTCGATTTTAAGCATCCTATCCCCCAGCCATTACTTTCTACTCATTCTCATTCAAACACCCTCAGCCCCATTTCAATTATTTTTTAACCTTATAATGACCTCTAATCCATTGACACTTTGACAATTCATCTCTCTTCTCTTGTCCTCACCTTTTATGTACTACACTATAGTTCGACACTACATAGCCACGTCTATTCAGGGTTCATAATATCCTGGTCATTCTATTTATTACGCATGCCTCACAAAATTTCAACTTTGGTTAAATTAACTACCCACTTAGTTCATGTTGGCATTCAAGCAGCAGAATATTGCCAAGGAAAATCACACAAGTATGTAGAATGGTCTTATTTCAAATTATTATCAAAAGTTCATATGGACCCTTGACATTGCAAGATGTCTCTCTACACTTTCCTAGTTATATAACTTTCCTGATTCTTCTAGATGATTATGATATACCACCTCTATAGTGGGTTGAATGGTATCCTCCAAAATACGTCCAAGTCCGAACTCCCAGTACCTGCGAATTTGACCTTTTGGGAAAATAGGGTCTTCTTGCAGGTATAATTAAAGATCTCAGAATGAAATGATCCTGGATTTAGGGTGTGCACTATATACAATGACAGGTGACCTTATAAGAGATAGGAAAGGAAAATTGGAAACACAGAGGCCTAGGGAAGACTGCTATGTGAAAAAGAAAACAAATTAGAGTTACGTTGCCACAAACCAAGGGATGCCAGGAGCTATCAAAGACTGGGATAGACAAGAGATGATTCTTCCACAGAGTCTTCAGAGGGGGGCGTGGCCATTCCAACACCTTGATTTTGGACTTCTGGCTTCCAGAATTGTCACAGAATAAATTTTAGTTGCTTTTAGCCTCTCAGTTTGTGGAATTTGCTATGGTGGTAGGAAACAAATACAACCTTTCATCTCAAAACTCCAATCCCTTCCTTTTCTCTAACTCCCCACCTTTGCCCCCACTCCCAGGATGAGTTGCATTTATTAATAAAATAGATGCAATCAGATGAAAACAATCTCTTGTTCCCACCAACCCCATATACCCACCTACATTTGTAGACCCCATCTGCCTTTTCTTGCTTTGGGGTTCCTCTTCTGTCAAAGGACCCCTGTCCACTAATTTTTTTTATTCAGTTATTATTGGGTGCAAGGGTAATTGCAGTTTTTGCCATTGAAAGTAATGGCAAAACTACAATTACTTTGGCACCAACCTAATAATATATGCCCAGTTACCCCCTCCTCTGCCCTGTACTATCACCAGTTGTCTACTAGATCATTTCTATTGGCTTAAAAACATGCCTTGATATTGTCTGTCTTAAAAGTGTATGCGTGTGTGCGTGTTTGTATAGTACATACTTTCGACCTTGACTTCATACCCCTCTCCAAATACTGTTTATTTTCTGTGCTCCCCTGACAGTTCCACTCCTTAAAAGAACTGTTCATATTTATTATTTCTACTTTCTCACTTCCCCTTTTCTGCCCAATTTATTTTGATCAAGTTTTTGTTTCTACCACTTCACTGAAAGACCTCCTATAATGATCTCTAATGTCTCGCATTTTGCTAAACCCAATGGCTAATTCTCTGTTTTCATTTTACTCAAACTTGCAGCAGTTGATGTAGTTCTCCACTTGCTCCTGTCACTTCCTGCTTCAGGCATTTGTAAATCTGACCTGTTATTATTGCCATGACAAGTTGAAATAATTGGGGAATGACATTTTTTTGAGGGGCTAGTAATTCTCACTTTTGTCTTTGTGCTTTTTGTTGTGTCTATTTAAAGCTTGATAGAGGGTTTGGGATTGATTGTTTTGCTTTTATTACAGTCATGTTCATGGACCAAATGTTCTAGGAACAAAAGGATATTAGACATGGCCTGGAAAGCCACAGTCTAGGACCAAAATAATTTAAGCAAAAATTGAATCTTTATTAGCAGGGGTTCACTGATGAGACATAAACATAAATTAAGATTGCTAAATACTGTAAATAAGGAAATTATCTATACTTTTCATATCTGTTATGCTTGTTTTTCTGTTTTAGTGGCAGATAAAGAATGTAGACAGATTCCATGCAAGTTCCCAGAGTAAGATTCTAAGTTGGGAACACATAGCTTAGTATCCAGAGTAGGGCTCTCCTACAGGTGATTTTATGATGCCAGATGTGAGACTTAGAAGAGAATCTGGTTTAACATGAATGTTTCTAAGTATTATCCTGAATATGACAACTGAAGACTGGTAGGAATCCAGATTAGTACTCAGAGGGAGCAGGAGTAGAGCTGCATGAAGGTGATTTGTGTCTTTGCTCATGAATATGGATTCTCCCCAGAGAGAGTTGGAGAAGGCTAAAGCAAACAATGAAGAAAGAAAAAGAGGGGGAGAGAGGACACAACAGGCACTGGCCACCAACAGACAAATAAATTGGTGTTTAAATATCCCTGCTCCTTTTCCTCCCTGGAGGGATAATGTTCCCTGTATTTTCCCCATGGGACTAATGGGATTCTCCATGTGACCATTGTGGAGGCAGACTTAATCATGCCCTCTTCCCCACTCCCTGCTCAAGTTCCTGTGTTTCCCAAATAACTTCATGCACGCAAAGTTTTGTTTCAGGGTCTGTTATGGAGGAGTGAATACTGAGACCCCACCTAAACTGATGAATGTCCTGGTACCAGGAGAGGGTATATACATGCTATGGGTCAAAATTCAAATGTTAAAACTCTACCTTGCAGTACTTCAGAATGTGACCTTATTTGGAAATGGGGTTGTTTGCAGATGTAATTAGTTAAGATTAAAGTGGGCCAATAATTCAATAGGACTGGAGTCCTTACAAAAAGGAGGCGATTTAGACACAGAGATAGACATGCACACTGGAAGAATGCCATGTGAACGCAAAGGCAGAGATCAGAGTTGCTATGTGTTGCATTGTATACCCCTACAATTTTTACGCTGAAGCCCTAACCTTTGAGGTGACTGTATTTGGAGATAGGTCCTACATGGAAGTAATGAAGATTATAAGAGTTCATAAGGGTGGGGCCCTAATCCTTAACTAATTACATCTGTAAACAACTGCATTTCTAATCCCCAATTAATTACATCTGCAATTCTACCGCAAGGTAGAATTTTAACATTTGAATTTTGACCCAATTGAATTTCTCCTGGGACCCTCTCCTGGGACCAGGACATCTGACAGTTTAGGTGATGTCTCAGTATTCATGCCTCCTTAGTTCTTTTAAGGATCTGTGTCCTGAAAAGAAGAGACACTATAAAAAGGGCTCTCTCTCTTTCTCCCTCTCTCTCTCTCATTCCCTGCCCCACAACCATTTCACTACCATGTGAAGACACAATGAGATGGCAGCCATCTACAAATGAAGAATACAGCCCACACTAGAACTGGAATCAACCCGTACCTTGATCTTGAGACTTTTCAGTCTCCAGATCTGTGAGAAATTTATTTCTGGGGTTTAAGCCACCCAGTCTGTAGTATTTTGTTCTGGCAGCTTGAGCTGATTAATGCAAGGGTGATGAGTCTACAAGTCAAGAAATGCCAAAGATTGCCAGAAAACCACCAAAAGCTAGGAGACAGGCATAGTATAGAGGTTGCTCATGGCCCTCAGAAGGAACCAACCTTGCTGACACCTTGATCTTGGACTTCTAGCCTCAGAAATGTGAGACAATAAGTTTCTGTTGTTTAAGCCACCAGGTTTGTGGAACTTTATAAGAGCAGCCCTACTAAATTAATATAACACATAACTGAAAGGTCATGGCGGTGGACAGACCTTAGACATTCTCTGTGGCCTTCAGCCCACCTGGGCCTGTATTTGAGTGTGTATCTACAGGAAAGCCAGAAACTGGAGTTAGATCTGAAACCTATTCCTGAGGACAGGATGTATGTCTGTTGTAGCCTAGACTTTGGCTGTGGGTTTTCTTATAACATTACCCCTGTCCCCTCTTTTCATATGTGGGGCTTTTATCTTATTCCTTGTTGTTTTCCTCATTACTCCCTTAGCAATATAGTATATGGAAATAACAGGACTTAGGAATTACAGCAAATTCCTTTAAGTAAATCTTTTACTTTCTTAAAAAACATAGACATACATTTGATGCTCACCTTGAGTCGGATTTCCTTGACCTTCAAGGAGAGATAATCGCAAACTGAACTTTTAAAGAATATCCTTTACACACAAAAATGAAATAAGTAAGTTAATTAAAACTTAATGAATATAAATACATAATTTAGGTTCTGCAGCAGAAAAAAAGCCTTGGAATCGGCACCAGAATATTGGGATTCTAAGACTTACTTTGCTCTACCAGTTAAGTAACTTTCAAAAGTCAATCTCCTTTCCTAAGAGACTCATTTCTTCATCTATACAATGATGAAATAGGGCTTGGTTACCTCTAAAGCACATAGGCCTTTTACAGCTCCAGTATTCCTCTGATTTCTGTGATTCATTCTCACCTGTGCCAGGCTTTGCTCCTGGCAGGACTGGGGACCGTGAAACTGATGAAGCCATGGAGTAAAACCAGGTGGGGATGGAAATCTCTGGCTCTCCTGCATAATTCACATGCCAGGCCCAACCAACATAAATGCATTCGCCAGTAATGACCTTGTGGAGAGCGTTCAAATGCTGAACATTTACACTCATAGATTTTTCTCATTATTATTTTCAGCCTCACTGCACGTTTTGTTTCAATTTGTTTTAAAAATTGTTTTGGAACACGTTCTATTGCTAGAAACTTTGACAGTATTGGCAATCATGGTAGCATTCTCTCCCACACTGATTTAATGTGGAGTTAACCTCTTTCCAGAGCATTTACCTAGTGCAGATGTGTGAGCTCTGTTTTTCTCTGATTCCAAAATCAGTTTTTCTCTCCTTAGATGCAATGGCCCAAAGAACTGGTTGGGATTTGAATAGTCTTTCTTCTAAGGTTCTTTGACTCTATTATCATTAAAAATAATTATGAAATAAAATTGTATGTTCATTGTATTCCATAAAAACATAGTCTTTCATCGTTAGATTTGTCAGCATTAGAATTGAGGGAAATAGATCAAACCAATGACATTTCAGAGACTTCATGAATGAGGTGGAGTTGGTTTGGGTTTTAAATGGGTTTTCTATTTAAGGACAGTAATGAAGGAAGGCATTACTGAAGAAGAATCAACGTGAGCAAAAATGAAATGAGAAAGGTACGGGCCATATTCCAAGACATATCCAGCTCTCTACTTTGGGCCACATTAAAAAGGACTTTAAAGTAACTATTTAATGGGTTTTCTTTGGAATGATGAAAATGTTTTGGAACTAGAGTAGAGGTGCTGTTTGTATACCACTGTGAATATACTAAATGCCATTGAGTTATTCATTTTAAAATAATTACTTTTATGTTTTGTGAATCATACTTCAAAAAAAAAAAAAAAGAAAGAAAAGAAAAAAAAAGCAAGAAAGACTTCAAAGGCAAGTCCTATATGTTTTTCTGCTTAATCTGACAAGCAGTGTGGGCCCTCTGAAGTCTATGAAAACTGAGAAGTCACATGATCAAAAAAACAAAGAAAACGGTAACAGTTTAGGGGACAAATTGCATAGGGAGATATATGAGGTGGAGAGATCAGCTACATGGTTATTAAAATAGTCTACCTGGTAGCTTAAAACTCAGGGTTATCTTTTCTTTGAATATGTTTTTGTGCAAATTTCCAGATGTATATGAACTTAGAGAAAACAGTTTAATAAATTGCATGTACATATCACTCAGCTTCAAATAATTTTTAACATGTTCCTAAGCTGATTCCCCCCGACTCCTCTACCCCACCCCCAACTCACCTCCACACACATTTTGCTTCACTTTCTTCCCTGGAGTACTTTAAGGCAAACTCTAGACATCCTATCATTTCATCAGAAACAAACAAACAAAACTTGAGAATACATGTTAAACTTAGAAGGACACTTTTCTTTCTCCTTCTTCTTCTTCCCATTATGATACAGTAGACCTAAGAGAAATATGGGCCAATTTTAATACCATCCAATGTTTTCCTGATTGTATCAAAGATAAATCTGAACAGTCAGGTTGTTCTAGTTAGATCTAAATGAGGACCATATATTGTATTTAGTCATTATATTTCCTAAAGTTTTTTTTTTAATCCCACAAATAGCATCCTGATCTTATTTTGTGTATGCCATTGATTTGTTGGAGAAAATGTGTCATCCACCTTGCTGAATCCTCCACATTCTGAGTGTGGCTGCTTGCTACTGGAGGATTCCATCTTGGGCCAGTGGAAACCATCTTCACATTGGATCTTGTTTCCTACTGACGTGCAAGTGGTATTGAGAGACGATCAAGGATCTGGAGTGCTCATTGTTATTGGTTTTCAATACTTCTAGGCATTTTTAAGAAAACAGAGCTAAATATACATGTGTGTACAAGAAAAAAGTGAGTTTCTAGTGATATTTACAATCAAATTTAAGATAGCATTGTTTTACTTAATTTTGTTGATTGAAGGTATTATCTCTTGTAATGAAAAATAGTAGTTTTTAATTTAATTAATGTACTTATTCATAAAATAGTTTTGAAATAGGTATTAATATAATATCCCTACTAACAATAAGACTACTGAAAGTAGCTTGCATTTTCATTGTCAGGAGCCATCTTTGATATCCCATTTTTCAAATTACTCACATCAGTGGTATATCAATTTCTTTTGACTTTACGTGTTATCAATTCTTCTGGACCAGATTATTTCAATAGTCTCATAATCTGTCTCTCTCCATCCCAACCTCCCCTTCCAAGATATTTTCTACATTTCTGCCAGAGGTATATTTCTAAAGCACATATTGGATTAAAACAAACAAGCAAAAACAAACCAAACTTCAAAGGCAACTCATTATCTGCTCAATGAACTCCAGACTTCTTTCCCTGCAGGTTAAGGTTCTCCTCTGCAGGGTCATGTGAAATCGTCACAGACTCCAGCTTTCAGAACTCCTCTTAAGACTTCTGCCCCTGTGGATACAGAACTCAGCACTCCTGTGCATCCACCATAGAATGTCCTATACATAGGAGAGACAGTAAAAGGCACCAATATCACAAGGCCTTGAGAAAATAACTTAAAAACATCTTGTTAGATGTAGCTGTCTTTTTTAAATCCTTAAGTCTCTTTTTGACTTTTCTTGATTTTTTTCCCGCCTTTGACCCTCTTTCCAAACACACTTAATCTCACTGACTCCTCTGAATTTTTTTCTTGAATTTTTTAAAAATGGAAATGCATTTTTACCTCCTCCCTTATACAGAATAATTATTTCTTTCTCAGTTCACACCTTGACACTTATATCTGCAAATCTATTAATACATGTAGTAAAACAATGATATTTCCCAATAATAGGACTTATTATCCTTGCAGTTTAGCAGACATACTTTATGACTTAAGTACATCTTTTTGCTTTTCACTCACCCTTCTATGACTTCTTTATATTTTATGTAGCTAGTTGCTCAGAAATGAAAGTGTTCTCTTTTTTTTTTTTTTAACACAAGGTTTATCCCAAACTGCCTTGCCTGTGTTTTATTCTAAGATTATCCCACATTCCAGTGAGGCAAACTCATTTACTTCCTTCTTTTTACTTCTAAGATATTAAAACTTACCTAATTGGATTGCATTTTCCCATTATTTCCACCAACTGAAATCCCAATGATTCAAATTTCTGCTTATATGCCATCCTCTTCATGAATTTTTTTCCTGTTCTGATTTCAAACAAGCATTGTCCTCTGAGAATTCCAGAAGAGTTTATCTATGCCCCACTTAGGTCATTTACGTTATTGTGTCTGGAATTATATTTGTCTATATCCACAGATGTCACCATTATGAGGGTACATTTGGCCCTGGGGAAGACTTAATTTTATTCACATTAGGGTTATCTAGCAACTTAATAAATTATATGTTGAAACAAAGAATGCAACTTACTGTTACCCACATTTAGACAACCAAAATATCATCTATACTCCCATTATTTCTTTTGAAATTCAATAATGACCTATAATAAAGGATAATATAAAAGGACAGGGAACATTTCTGAGAACCCAATGCATTTTATAGATATTTTATAGATCCTCTTTCTAGAAAAACAGCATATTTCCCACGTTTTACAATCAGTTGCATGGTTGCACTTGTTTCTTTTTGGTGCCTCGGTGGAGCTAGAGAACTACTGTTCCCCAGGGTATTTCTATTTCCATGTCTGGGATGTTTAACTCGTCTCCATGTTCTGTCTATTTAATTGTTCCTCCATTTGTAGTGTGACTAGTGACAGTTCCTAAAGATAATTCCATTACAAAAGGAGAGTTTATGTATTGGAAAAATGTGTTCCACCCAACAAACTACAGATATGCATTATAGAACTGAATCTTATTGAATCCTCACTGAAGTGTATGTATGTGTATGTTTGAGTGGTGCACTGCTAGGTATTGTCATTCATGTCAGGTACTGAGAGACAAATAAAAGAAATCAGAACCAGTTGGTACCTGAGAAAGTGTGGGTTATGTGCAGATGTGCAAAAAAAAATCAGGCATAAAATAAACTGTTAATAAATGTAATTATTCCACTGTTTCCCCTTGTATGTCTTCTCCTCAGGGAACTATGAAAAAGCCAGATGCTGATCTGGGAAATGTCCCAGAATTATTCTTTTGAAAAATATTAACACTCCATTACAAAAGGTCTTGCGGAGAATTATATTGAAACTCAGTTCCTGATGACTATAAATATATAGAAGCAGCAACACATTGGAGCAAAACTTGCGATTTGAGGGTGAGCATTATGCAATTGATTAGGAAAAATGTGAGCTTTGAAATTGTCTTTAAGTATAATTCTACTTCCAACGGTACAGATAGGCCTTTTCCTGTGATTGGAGGTGTAAGCACTTTCTGAAAACTCCCTCTCACTAGTTAAACATAAGAGAGGTGCTGTTGGTATAGTTCTTGGCATGGGGTAACTGCCCAAGTCACACTGCTCCTTCTGGGACAGCTGGCACCGTTGGTAGTAAATGCCACTGTTGCTGCGCACCTCAGATCCCATGTAAACTGTGGTACCATCTTCTCTATCTGCTGGGCATTAGTGAATTCATAAATTTGATTTGATTCAAAGGTGTAGAAAAGAAGAGACCATTTCTCCTTTCTTGCTAAAGGTAGAATTCCCCTGTGATCATAGTGCTATGATGGTGAAGGTGGGGCAGGAGTAATGCTGAAACACACCTGTTATTTTATGGAAGTTTAGCACTCAGTGCTTTTGCGATGGCAATTATGGCATATGGTTTAGTGCCTTGACATAGTAAGAACTTACAAATGTTTTTGGGATTAGAAGATTGTTTGGAAGTTTCAATGAATATCCCCGACTTACAAAATGGAATAAAATGATAACATCAAGCTTCAGTGCCAGGGGAGATCTTGGAGTGGAATTTTTAAAGTAATAGGACAGAAGACTTCTGGTGACAGTGGCCCTATGCACACTGGAGCCAGACCTGTGCTGTACAGCAAAGGAATTTACAGTATGGTTTAACTCCACAGTAAAGGATCAAAACATAAGGGGTAGGCACTATAATATGTCTATAAGGTGGGATGGGATGATATGTCTAACTCTGTTTTCCATTATGCAAAAGAAACATATTAACGGAAAGAACATTATGAAAGCAGTAAGACAGCTAGAATAATGGTCATGCAAAATGAACCACCTGGTTCTTATGAAGAACTACCCACCCACTAAATTACCTTGGGTTCTATGTAGTAGAGTTGGTTTGCAGAACAAACATAGTTGCTTAGATATGTTTATAAAAATGTACCATTTGGATGAAGAAAAAAATTAAATATTCAAATGTATGAGTGATTTCAATCTGAAAAACACGAAGGCTGTTTTTGTCATGGGGTGATTTAAACTATATCTGACCCAGAGCCATTCTTAAAAGTATGTGGTGAAGGAGGCCAATCCTGATTAGTTAATTAGACAGAGGATAACAACAGAAGAAAATTGTGTACTAAAAAAAAAAATCAAGCTTAGAGGGAGAGATTTTTAACTACTGTATAACTACTCCTATTTAGCAGAAAAGAAGATTTTTAACTTCAGGAGGATATGCACTAGATGCCAGAATGAACCACGAGAAATTTCCCTGGTGAACAAACTTAGGACTGAGAGAAAAGACAAGAAAGTTATGGTTCCTCTGAATTATCAGCTCAAATCTTTTTAATTTGCCCAAACTGAAAATATTTGTATACTGCTGAGATGTTGGGCTAAGATTCCCTGAGTTTGCCCTTTTTATGCTTCTAAATAATTGGTTGTTTTAGAATTTGCCGTGCAGTAGTGCATTAAATTTGCTTGTATGTTTTCTTTGTTCAAGAAGCTATCATGTGGTTAAGGAAAGTGTATGTCTGGATTTCTTTGTAATCCCAACACTGAGTTCAGTGACTGATATTTACAAGCTACAAAATAGATGGCAGAGGCCCAAATCCTTATAACACTAAGATAGTAAGTCTAAGTAGGGAAAATACCCACAAATGTTCCAGTTATGACTTATTTTGTCCTTACTGGAATCAATTACAACAGAGGATTGATTTTTGACAACTACTAAATATGTCCATTATATAATTTGCAAAATTTTCATTTGAAATCATTCATTCTGAGAAAATTCGTAGGTCTCAAATGTGGATAAATTGAAGTATCTTAACTATCTGAGGCAGGAAGGAGACTTCGGTGCTTTCTGGAGGGTCACATGGGCTGTGGAAGATCAGGATTATAGTGTCATTACGAGGGCTCTGAGCAGGAAGAGCTGCTTTGGGAGGCTGAGAGGGTGTAGAAGAACATCAACTGTTAGTTCAGCTTATGCAGATTTTGCCGAGAATTTTGTGTTACAACTTGGAAATAATAGCAGTTGGATATATGGAATCTGATATTGGAGTAAAAGACGTATTTAGAAACATAAATGAGGAAATTTTCACATAAGTTTGATATTTAAAAGCATGAGAGACCAGAATTACCCAAAGAAAGAATGTAAATAACAAAGAGAAGAATACATGAGTATTTAAAAAAAATCTCAAATTTCTTTAGTCGCTGAGGACAGGTACTGTGAAGATTAAAGGAAAGGAGAGGAGGAGGTAGACATGATAAGGTGTAGATCATGGAGGTAGGAGGGTGGGAAGGTGTTGCCAGTGAGCAGGCAACATGAGCATGAGGATGATGACTGCAGAAGAGTTACTATTTGGTAGGAGCTGTTCTGGCATGTCACTTGTATTGAGTCATTTCATCCTCAAAGCAAATTACAAAGTAAGCACTACTATTACCTACATTTTGCAGATGAGGGAACTGCACCTTGCCCAAAGTCATTCTGCTATTAATAAATAGAAGAGAATGAAGGAGACAAATATATGCAGCCTAACTCTGTAAAGTCAAGAGAGAGAACTTGGGACAAAACTGCAGTGCAATTGGCCCTTTCCAGGAGACAGAAAGTCACTAAATACCAATGTCAGGGCAAATACATGTATCAGGGCCCGTCAGGGCATCTTCTTCAACATTCCAGCTACTATGAGAATATGGTAATGTTAATGCCATTGTATTCTAATCATTCAGATATATGCATGTTCCAGAGAAATACCAGAAAATAAAATAACAGATTTCTGAGTTAGGCCACCTGTGCTGTTTTAACCTGCAATATGGCTTTAATGGCTAATTGTTAATTTCCACTTTAATAGATCTACTTACTGAGACCTTACTTCTTACTCTTCCCTTTCCTTGATGTACCCTGTCTTCTTTTCTTAATCCACACTGTGTGTGTGTGCTCCATGTTTAAGAGCATGGGTCAGCCTAGTACTGTAACTACTAAGCATGTAATTATTTCCATGGATCATTCTACTGCATGAGGTGTGGTTAGATGGGACTGTAAGTTCTTACTACAACCATGTCAGACACTGGTGGACGAAGCCAAGGGGAGAAAGAAGAGCAAGGGTAGTAACTGTGTGCTTCGCCCAGCACATGCTGAGCAGGGCATGTGTGACTCAGGGGTTAAATCTCCCACCCAGAAACTGTGAGTTGCTCTGTCCTTGCATCAGCATGTCAGCATTTTATGTATTCAGAACTTAGAAATCTCTTTTTTTTTTGTTTGTTTTCTTTTGTTTTTGTTTTTTAACCCAGAAATATAAAAGGTACTTTTGAAACACTAATCATTCATTTTCCTCCTTATTTTAAGCAGTAAAAATACACTTAAAAACCATTTCATTAGTGAAAGGAAGTTTAGAAGAAGGGAACAGAAAGAACTAGATTCTTGTCCCCCTCACCCCTTTGGCCAGTTAGAGAACAGATTAGATACATACCAACATTATTTTAGTATTTAGGAAAATAGCCACATTGCATCTTCTAGGTAAATGTTGAGGTGGGCTCAAAATGGAGCTGTGCACAAAAGAGTCACATGTTGGGCAGAGTGTAAGCAATGATGCCCTGGTAGTAAAGTGACGGAGGACAAAGTCTGCTCATTACTTAATCTAAAATTGAAGCTCAATGTCTTGATCATTCACTTTTTGAGGTCAGGAGCCCTCTGAATTACCTTTATATAACAGCGTCTATCAGCCTATTACAACTTTATAAAAAGGGCAGCCAGGTGCAGTGGCTTATGCCTATAATCCTGGTGCTTTGGGAGGCCAAGGATAAGGATCACTTGAGACCAGGAGTTTGAGACCTGCCTAGGTAACCTAGTAAGACCTTGTCTCTACAAAAATTAAAAACTTTTAAAAATTAGGCTCCTGTGTGCCTGTAGTCCCAGCTACTTAGGAGGCAGGGGCGGGAGGAACAATTCTCCTTGTCAAAAATAAGCAGTCCTCTTCCCAACCACACCCTACCTTCATCTGGAGGTTTTCAAGGCCTCTAGTATTAAAAGCTATGTAATGCAGCCCTACCTGGCATTCTCTGCAGAAAATTTAAGAGAAGCAGAAAGATGCAGGCTGTGATGAATCACCTCACCCTAACTTTCAGCTCAGCGAAACCAGGTTTCTCTTGCCCCAGGCAAGATGGTCTCCCTTCATCAGTACACTTCAGACTGAGGAACTACTGAGAATACGGGGAGGTGCATTGAATAACAGCAGGAAAATACTGAATGCGTAATTATGGAAAGGTTAAGTGAACCTCCCTGTCTTTCTCTCTCTTTTTTTTGTTCTTCCCACCCTCAATGCTATAAAAGGTTGCATTTGGACCTAAAAAGTGCTCCCACGCCTTCAAACACAGTATGCTAAAGAGGCATTTGTTTCATCCACGAAGAACCCGGGCTCCGTGGAAAGGTTGCTCCCGTGACCACTCAACCTCTATTTGAACAGAATCTTCAATGGCCAGAAACTCAGAAGTACCTAGAGTAATTGGGGCTGCAAGGAAAACGATGATGAAACAAAATGCATTCAAAGCTCTCAGCTGCCTTTCGAAGAAGATGAACGTAGTTTTAAATGGAGGCTTTCTTATTTCCTTGCTAGTGTGGGTCAGCAAGGGATTACGCCAGCAAGATCCTTAAAGTCACTGGAGGTGCTTTTGGGAAAGAAAAGACGTCTGCTCACCCCCACTCCTTAGGGGATTTAGTTTAAGCCTTAGAAGGCATTTGTTTCTCTTGCTTCAAATATCGTTGTCTTCATTTTTTAAAAATCCTTTGAAAACGATGGTCTTGATTTGGCTTGTTTGAGAATGTTCTTTTTCCATTTACTTTGCTACTTAAGGGATTGGGAGAGGCAGCTGTTCTGATGAGCATTAGAAGAAAACCTTTTCCCCAAATAGAAGAAACCAAGAAAGAAAAATAGTTAGGACTTCTTGACATTCTATGTTGTGATTGTTACATGTTTGCAACTCGAAGAGGGACCTGCCCTATAAATATTTGTAGCTTATTTATACCCAGAATATACCGCCAAACTGTATAAAAGAGGTAATAACATGTAGGGAATGAGGTGACCGGTAATATTTGCTCCACTGATTGGCGTTTAGAAAGAAAGCAGGATTAAAAGCAGGAGGAGACAGAAGTTCAGGCCTGAAGCAATGCATTTTTATCAGTGACGGATATCAAATTTTACCTTTGGGCTGGGATTTGCACCTTACTAAATCCATATAAACCTTCTCTCAGAAGCCCGAACTCAGTTTGTATTTCAACTCCACAGCTGGATGGATGGCAAGGAAACAGATAATATTCTGTCTGTAAATTTACTGTTTTTCACTCGGGAGGTGGAAAAAATTTTGTTTTTTTCCAAGAGAGGGATAATAATTCCTGGGGACCTGAAATACAGACTTTATTGCAGTCTGATAAATGTTCTTCACTTTTCTGGTCTGGAACCGCAAGATCCCATTTGCCTTTTTACGTATGTTTTAAAAATCACACACTTGTCTTCAGGAGAGTTAAAAGTTATGTGTATTGGGTACGTACTGTACCACTTCGCATGTTGTACACATCATACATCTCACATTGAATCTTCTCAACAATCCTGATATTTATTATATTTTATAGATTTTATAAATGAGAACATTTAGAGTCAGAGAAGTTAATTAGCTTATCTCTGCTAGAATGCAGAGGCTAGAAAGCAATCGTAAGTTGGTCTGATGGCCTGATTCACGCTCATCTTCCCAAACACAGAGTTCAAAGTCAACCATGAAGTATGATTTGAGAATCTCCAAGTTTTTCTCTTCTGGAATACCTGCGCTGTGCTTTCTTCTTAATAGTGTTCCCAGGCAGGCCCAAGCTGCTCTGTCAAGGGACCAGAAACTTCTCTCAGCTCTATCTTTCCCTCTGCGTTTAGATGAGACCTGCTTTCTTCTCCCGCTGGTGATGATCTGGGCTTCTGTGGGTGACCAACTCCAGGGGGCGCCGCGCACACAGCCTAAGGCAGCCTTGGTGGGGACAGTAAATCCTCCTTAGGCTTTTCTTTTAAATGGTTCCAATTTGTTGTTGTGATTGTGTCTTACCGATGTCATATTTGAAGCCACTTTGTCACATGGCCTTTTGCCTCCTCTTCAGGGTTATCAGTAATCTAATACTGTAATTCACCTCTTGGAAGGGAATGTAATGTGTATCAGGAGCTCCTGTTATAAAAAGGAAAATTCACCAATGGGGCAATGTGGTGGAGGAAGGAGGTTGTCTTTCACAGCTGGAAGAATTTTTTGTTTTTTCTGACTCTTTTCAGTATTTTTCTGTCTCCCTAGTGACATTGGCCAAGTCACTCATGCCCTTGCAAGCTTTTTCCCCCTATATTTGTTCTGCCTATTCCCAGGCTTGTTTTGAGAACTAAACAAGATAATAGGTGCGTACAGATTCTGAAAACTAAAAGACACTCAAAAAACTCTTATATTTGGTGTTCATATTTATATTTCAGAAGCATAGCTCTGATCATATCATTTTTCCGCTTTCAGACCTTAAGGATTCCTATTACCTGCAAAATACATGTAATGTTTGAACCTCATATCTGGTAGCCTGCTTCCTCTGGTCCCCTTATTTCCGATTGCTTCCTTTTATTCATCTGCTGTTCCACTCACTCCAAGCTATTGAGTGATCCTTCTACTTATCCTGAGATTTCCTACCTCAGTGCCTTTGTTCATGCTGTTTTCTTCCTCAAAAGCAGCACTATTCAGTAGAATTTTCTGTAATGATAAAACTGATATGCACTCTCCAATATAGTAGCCACTAGCCACACATGGCTATCAAGTACTTGAGTATTGGCTAGTGTGACTGAAGAGGTGAATTTTTCATTCCATTTTAACCAATTTAAATTTAAATGTCCACATGGATAGTGGCTACCATGTTGCACACCACCACAGGCCTAGAATATTGTTCTTCGCTATCATTTTATGTTCAAATAATACCCATTTATCATTATCCAGTACATAGGTCAGGTTATCCTAAAAGCCTCCATTTGTGCCCTTCCTTGGACATCTTTCTCATCATCTTCTCTTTAACTCTATCTTGGCATTGGTTTTGTAAGTTGCATTTTGGATTTGCTTATATCTCATCTTCCCTATTAGGTGATAGATTCCTTCTGGTGGAATTTGATCTAGTTTAGCATTCCTACAACGTTGACACACACAAAACATTTGGGGAGAGACAGACTATCATTGCCTGTCCCAAGTGACAGTCACTCCATCACTCATTTACTCAATCAGCCCTGCCACTTGTCTCCACTGGGTGCTGTCAGGCCCATGTGAAATCAGAGAGTTCAGACAATTAACCAAGGAGTTGCTGGGACACCGGATCTTCAGCCCACTGACACATCCTTTTGTTTTCCTAATGGTAGGTTGTTTGTACTTAAAATGAGCCTACACTCTGTGAGCTCCTTGTAACAAATATTTCTGAAGACTAGTCCCCTGTT
Organism: Homo sapiens; assembly: GCF_000001405.40. NCBI lineage: Eukaryota > Metazoa > Chordata > Mammalia > Primates > Hominidae > Homo > Homo sapiens. The sequence goes on from NC_000013.11 coordinate 74,575,359, forward strand.
TTCTAGGCACAGGGGATGGAGAGAAACAGAAAACCACTCGGCTTTGGAAGAGCTCCCAGCATCTCAAAGAGAGGGAGAAGAGAGGCAACTCGGAACCTCACCTGCAAAACAAGGGTGGGTGGTATAACCCGCCCTGTCCCTCTGCCTCCCTAAACAAGAAAATCTCTTCCGGTCCTTTGAGGCGAGCCACTCTCTCCAGGAGCTTCGGTCTGGAGCCACATCAACCTAGGAGGAAGGGAAGATGACAAGCCCAGCGTGTAAATGTCCTTTCTTCCTAGCAACAACATTTGAAAGCATAGACCTTAGTCAGATGGGACACATTTGGCAAATGTTCAGGCGTGCAGCATTTCAATTGATGAAATTTCTTTGTGGAACCCTGTTCCCAAGGGCAGGGAAAATTGGAGAGTGAACAATTAGATGCTGGCGCGGCCCGGAGAGGCTCGCGGATGCCTGGCCGCGCGCCTCCGCGGGACGTCAGCGCCCGCGGCACGATCTGCTGCTGTCACTATCAGTATCCGGCAGGAGCCCGCCCGCCCCGGCCCGGCCCCAGGCCGTGGAGGAGGGGGGAGGGTGCGGCGCAGGAAGCTGAAGATAAGTCTCCAAATCGGGCTAAGCTGGGAGTGGGGACAGCGAGGGGGAGGGCCGGGAAGCAATGAAGTCAGAGGCACAGCAGCGACTGCAGCTGAATCAATTTGGAGATAAAAATAGTGCCTTGCCGCCCCTGCCTCTGCAGTGATTTCATAAAGGTCTCAGCTGCGTTGGAGAGAAAGCCAGCATGTGTGTCCCTACCCCCTTTTCCAAACTGGTGAGATGAGCAAAACAGCAGCGACAAGGAGAGCCCAAATGCTCTTCTTCATCTTCTCCCTCTGTCTCTTTGTTTTCCTATCTCCCACTCTCTCTCCCAAAGACCCCAGAAGCGCCCCTTGCTTCACCTGTTCCTCTTAATGGGATAATTAAAGATTAGGACAAAGAGATGAGACCTTCACAAGCTGAAAGAGATAGAGATTCTAGACAGTCATAATGAATCCAGATGGCACTTTCCCCTGACTTTCAACCCCTGAGACGTCAACTAGATGACTGACCACTCCAAAGCCTGAAGGTTAAACACCCTGCAAGAATGGGTCCCAATAAGTCAGACCAACCTCCTATTTCCATATGGGAACATCTCTTCCTGAACCTTAAGAGAAAACAAAACCTGGGATGGCCAATTAGTGTGACTGTCCCAGGAGACACAGATTTAGGGCTCAGTTTCTGTGACGGATGCGAGAAACCTCGAATTGGATCTGAAAAGGACATGAAGTGAATAGAGCTTTGGCACTTCACAGAGTGATTATCCCTGCAGTGCAAGGAGGTAACCTTTCTGCTGCTACATCCTGACATTTGCATGGAGGCAAATGCATCACTGGTAATTGCACCTGAGTGTCAAAGCCACTTGATGTGTGTGTTCCGACCAAGGTATGAATGAGAACTTTAGCGCTAGGGAATGGGAGGCAAAGAAAAAGTGCAGACAAATTATGGGAGAAGAGATAATGGAATTGGCCATTAAAAATTAACAGCTTGGATTGATGTTTCTTTCACACTCCTGCAAAAGGAATAGGTTCAGATTAAATAATACACTGCTTGTGAAAGTGCCTAAACTAGTGTCTCTCTCTAAAAAATGCTACTTAGTAAATACTGTCCTAGATGCTTTCAAAATGAATATGCTTATACTCGCTCAAGAGGAAACATAAAACTAGGACTATTTCATTGAAGCCAAGAAAATCAGTTTTGTAGTGTATAGGCAAAATGTTCAAAATAGAACCCATACATCTTCTGACTTTAGCCATAGACCTTCAATTCAGTAGGTATTAAATACAGGACGTGGAAGCATAATAAAAACATATGACCCAAAGGTCTCTTAAACTGTGGGGCCCAAAGTGAACATCTTGTTGTTGGTTTCACATACAACTCTGAAATAATTTCGTTCTCTCAAAGGAAGAAATAGTTCCTGTTAGAGAATGAAAATAATGTTGCCAAACTCTCCAATTTGGCAAATATAGCAAACTATTATCAGCCACATTAGGGATCTGGCTTTCTCATGGGGACCTATTGTTTACAGAAATATCTCAGCTGAGAAATAAGCAAACATTCCCCCTGAACTACTGTGATACAATTCATATGGCCTTTCAAGGATATTTACAACCACTGAGAGGAAATCCATGGAAAATTTAGAATCACTACAAAGGTCCCTTTTGGTGCTTCTGAAAATTTTGATGCCTTTTTGAATATCCTGATGACTATTTTCCCACTGATGAACAAAGACATCTGAAGCAAAGCCAGTTTATGCTGTGCTGGGTTCCTACTACAAATTAGTGAAAACAGAGCATGCTTAGGATGAACGGTGTGTACTTGATAAAAATACATTACGATTTTAAATACAACTGAACTGTGTTTATTTTCTTATAAAAGCATATTTTTAAATCTGAAATACTTTTTGTAATTCAATCAAACAATCTTAATCTTGTGAGTATTTGAAACACCACTGACAATTTTACAGACCATCTTAGGAACACACTGGGATTTCCTGCTTCTGGTTGGATTAGGAGAGGGCCAAAGCTACTTGACTTGCAAAGTGCTGGTCTGTGTCTAACTATGGTAGAGAAGGCTGTGATGTGTCAAAGGATTCAATAAGAGTAGCAAAGTTGTGTTGGTCCTTGTTAAAATTTAGTCCAGTTCTAAGCTTGGGAAATAAAATGCAAGATTTTTTTTTTTTAATAGTTCCTATCATTAGCCAGGACCTTCACCATACTGGCTATGTAATGATAAAAATGCCCAGTTTACCTGGCAGAGGTTAGGAGTGAAAAGAGCTACAGACAACAGTGAAGGACAGAAGTACACCAGACATCTGTTTCCAGCACTATGGCAGGAGGGGATAAAGTGGACTGCCCTACCTCCTGTAATCTCTAACATGTAGATATGTTGTATAATATTCTATCTATCTATCTATCTATCTATCTATCTATCTATCTATCTATCTATCTATGAAAGGAATAATGGGAATCTTCAGATGCAAAGAGGAAACTCAAAGCTTGAGAAGTCTGCATACGAGCCTACACTGGGGCAGCTTTGGGGTGATGTAAGTTTCAGTCACAAGCCCAATGCCGAGGCCTGAAATTTCATTGCCCATGCAGGGTCAAAGGCATGACAAGGAACTTGTGCAAGGAAAGGGGGTAGAAATGATGTTCTTGCATAAGGCCAGGACTTAGGAAGGGTTGCCTACTCCATGAAAGGAGGATTAGAGAAATCCTTCCCTCTGGACCAAGGAAGACATGTGGAGTGTGTGAGATGTTGAAACAACACTGCTCATTACAAGTGTCCAAAGCCAGCCTGTACATTACTCACAACCTATGTGGGGTGTAATATGGTTTGGCTCTGTGTCTCCATCCAAATCTCATCTTGAATTATACTCCCATAATTTCCACATGTTGTGGGAGGGACCTGATAGGAGATAATTTGAATCATGGGGGCGGTTTTCCCCATACTGTCCTAGTGGTAGTGAATACGTCTCACGAGATCTGATGGTTTTATCAGGGGTTTTTGCTTTTTCATTTTCCTCATTTTGTCTTGCTGCCACCATGTTAAGAAGTGCCTTTTGCCTCCCACCATGATTCTGAGGCCTCCCCAGCCATGGGGAACTATAAGTACAATTAAACCTCTTTTTCTTCCCAGTCTCAGATATGTCTTTATCAGCAGCGTGCAAATGGACTAATACAAGGTGGGACTCCAGATTTGTGAAATTAACACACAAAAAAGACCTTTGGTTGATAATTCCCCTAATGGAGTATAAAAGAAAACATAAATCTGTAGGGATGCTATGGCAAATATTTTTCTGTGGGACTTTCTTGGAAAATGCAACTGTGTGAAATAAGAATAGACCATGGCATCAAGTCAGAAAACACATAAAACAAACTAAGAGTGCTAGAGAAAATAGAAAAATCTGAAAATCATGAACCTAACTATATTTTTAAAATTTTTAAGAAGAAAAAACGTAGAACATGTGTAATGAACAGATCACCATGAAAAATAAATAGAATATTTTAAAGAGATTTTCTATTAATGAAAAATGATATTGAAATGACACAGCTGAAATGAAAAATTTGTGAATTGGAAAATAGACCTGAACAATTAACTAGAATTTAGTACATAAAGAAATGTGACAAATGATATGTCAGAAAGCCTGCAGGATGGAATAAGAATAACCAAAAGTGGAATTCTAAAAGGAGAACAGAGAGAAAATGTGGTAAAAGAGTATGCTCAGCTCGCATAATGGCAAGAAATTTCTTAGAATTAGTGAAAGATATGAATCAACATATTGATAAAGCCCTCTTAATTCTGAGAAAGATAAATTAAACCAAGTCTATATCTAGACTCAGTAAATCTTCAAATAACAAAAAGTGATAAAAAAATCTTATAAACAACTCCTATACCCCCACCTTCCATCCAAAATTATATACTACTAAACATTTGTCAGACAATATAAGAAAAGAACATTGTAGACCAATCCCGTTTATGATCATAGATAAAAAAAATAGCACATCAAATATACTAAACCATGTTCTTAATGAGTGAAAAATAGTTTAATTTCAATATGTCGATATACTCATATGAGACAATATTAACTGAGTTCATACAAACCAAAATGATAAATAAATGTAGAAAAATATGTAAAAAACTCAATCCCAATTCATGATGCTAATTTTTAGCAGTCTGTTGAAACAAAAACCTTCCTTAACCTTACAAATGGTATCTGCCACTGCATTGAAAGGAACATCATATTTAATGGCGAGAGGTTAGAAGCATTCTCTAGGGTCAGGGCTAGTACAAGGATATCTGTTTTTACTCCTACTATTCAACATTTTATTAAAGGGTTCAGACAATGTAATATGACAGAAAAAGAAAGAAATTTTTTTAAAGGTAGGGGTATAAGAATTATAAAGGATGAAATAAAATTAAATTTTGTTTCAAGTGATATGATTATTTATAAATAAAATTAATTTTAAAAAATTGGAATCAGCACTACTAGTGTTCTGAAAATTTGCAGAATTAAATCTCAAAACAGAAATTTTGATACTTAGCATTTTTATGTAACAGCAACAACCAATTAGAGAATATAATGGTCTCATCCTCAATAGTAACAACAACATCTAAGGCAGGGGTGTCCAGTCTTTTGGCTTCCCTGGGCCACATTGGAAGAAGAAGAATTGTCTTGGGCCACACATGAAATACACTAATACTAACGATAGCTGATGAGCTAAAAAAGAAAATCACAAAAAAAGCTCATATTGTTTTAAGCTTTACAAATTTGTGTTGGGCCACATTCAAAGCCATCCTGGGCCACATGGGCCTGCAGGCCACGGGTTGGACAAGCTTGAGCTAAGGTATTTAGTAATAAATCTGCTTGATCTGGGGTATTCAGGAATAAATCTTACAAAACACATCCAAAATCTCTATGGAAAAAGTTCTCAAACTTGAGAGGTAAATGAGGGGTATACGCATATACATATATACACACACATGCATGTATACATATAAATATACATATATACACACATGCATATCTGTGCACACACACTACATCCATGAATGGATGGGAAGAGTCAATATTAGGGAAGTCAGTTCCAGATTTAATCTAAGGATTTAATGTACTTCTGATAAAAAATCCAAAAAATGCTTATGTTTGAAAAATTTAGCCAGCTTATTCTAAAATTCACATGAAAAAAATAAATGGCCAAAAATAATAAAAAACAACTTAAGGAAGAATAAAATGGAAGCATTCTTATTAGGAGAACCCTATACAGCTAGAATAATTCATGCTTTCTGATATTGGTCTAGTGTCAGACAAATAAAAGTAGAATAAAATGTGGGGCAAAGAAACAGACTAATGCACATAAGAAACTTGTGAAATGACAAATTTGGCAATACAATTTAATGAGAAATGTATAGGCCATTCATGGAAAGCTTTGGGGACAATTGGCTATCCATATGGAAGATAATTACATTATATCAACATACCATAAACAAAAATAAATTCCAGATGCATAAAATACACGAGGAAAAAAATTTAATGTAGAAAAAATAGGAGAGGAATTTAATGATATGGAGAATGAAAATATTTCCTAAGCAAGCTAAAATACATCAATATTGATAAATGACTTCATTTAAAATTTTGCACAACAAAAGCTTCCATAATAATTTTTTAAAAGCCACAAACTATGGAGAGATATTTTCAACATTCATCATTAATACAGTATTAGTTTTCAGGACATATACAAAATTCCTACAAATCAATTAGATCAACAATTCAATAAGATATGAGTAATGAAGATGAACAGAAAATTCCCTGAGGAAGAGATCTAAGTGGCCAATGTAAATGTGAAAAATGCTATACTTCTACTAATCAGGAAATTCAAATTAAGATTATCATGATTTTTCATTTCACTCTCATCCAATTGTCAAAAATGAACAAATATGTTAATATCAAGTATTGGCAAGGATGAAACAGGAATTCTCATAAGTGGGTATGTGAATTGGAAAACCATCATATTGGTCCCAGCAGGAAACAGATGTCACACTTCAAAGAAGTAATTGAAGAGAGTTTAATGACTAGACTATTTACAAAGCTGAGAGTAAGGGATAAGGGTTGACAAGGGATATTGGAGCACCATAGGTTTAGTAATTGCAGGAAGCTGTTACTACCTTTAGACCTGAAGGATGATGACACAGACAGCTGTCCTTATTAGAAATAGCCATCCAGCTGAAACTGTGATCCTTATAGAAGACTTCCGAGACTGATAAACTACATCCCACCAGGTAGGGACCTTACTACTCTCCAACTTCTGCCCTCTAATATCTACTCCCATTGGCCAAACCCAACAGAAACTTAAAGTGATGGGAACCAAGTTCATAAAGGTTAGTCTCTGGGGTTGCAGAGCAGTGTGGAAAAGGATGGACATTGTCACAAAGGACAGATGACAAATATCCAGCACAACCACTTTGAAGAGAAATGTGGTAATACTTAATAGCCGTGAATATATGCATATCCTATAACCATTTCTAGGGTGAAATGGTTCCAACACACTCAAGAGACTTACACACAGACAAGAAAGTGTGAACATTCTTGCACCTTGAAACATTGTTTGTAATAGCAAAGAACTTTGCAACAACCTAAATGTCCATTAATAGAAAATTGCATACATATCATGTATCTATACCATGAACTACTGTATAGTAATAACTATGAGTGAACTAGAGTTACATTGAAACATAGATAAATCTAAAAATAATGCTGTTACATGAATAAAGCAAATTGTAAAAGGCTACATCCAAAATTATATGATTTAGATATATTTTTTCTAAAACAATGCTACTTTTTCACAGAAGCATGCTTGTGTAGTAACAGAATAAACTCCCTTGTAAGAAGAAAACACCTCAACTTGAGGATAGTGGTTATCTCTGAAAAGAGAATGGAAGCAGAACCACATAGAGGAATTGCCTTCATTTGCATCTATAATGTGGTAGTTTTTGCCTTTTTGTTTTAAATAAAGAGATTTGACAAACTGCTATAAACCTTCAAACATAAGTTTATGTATAGACGGTTTTTCAGTTGTCAGGAGTGGGATTGCTGGGTCTGACGATAAGCTTCGCTTCATAAAAATAATGAAAATTTTCAAAGTGACTGCACAATTTTACATTCCCACCAGCCTTGTTACAGTTGCTCCATATTCATGCAAACTTGGTATTGTCAGATTTTTAAAATTTAGCCATTCTATCACTAGTAGAATGGATTTTGTGATATCTCTTTGTGATTTCAATAGGTATTTGCCTAATGCCTAATGATGCTAAATATCTTTTCATTTATTGTTTATATATCTTCTTTGGAAAAGTGTTTATTAGAATCATTTGAAAATATTTTTTCATGGGTTATCTAAGTGAGTTATAAGAATTTTTTTTAGGTATAAAACAGACAAATATTTTGTAAAACTTTTCTTCCAGTTTATGACTTGCCATCTCATTTAAAGCAGATTAGTGGTTGCCAGGAGCTAGGATAAATGAGAAGGAATTGACTGCAAAGGGAAAGGAGGGAATATTTGGAATGATACAAGTAGTCTATATAACGATTGTGCTGGTCTTTATATGACAGTATATATTTGTCAGAATGTACCTAAATTTATACTTAAAATTGATTAATGTAATTATATAAAAATTATACAGTAACAAGTTCACTTAAATTAAGATTTTAATTATGATAGCATGAGTTTTTTTTATCAGTAGATGCATTAGTACTTTACTGACTTTTACATTTTTATGTTTGAATTATTTTGTAATTTAAAATTATGGGGAATTTCTAGTTCTAACTTTGTAAATCTGGCTTCTTTAATGAACCACTGATTCAATGGGACAGTAATCTGGAGTATTACTAGTGAAAATGATTAAAATGAAACACAGACCCATTTCTTCTATGCCCACAAACTTGATTGTTCTATTCAGATGCAGGAATCTACAAGTTTCTGTACATACATTTATCAATCAATAGCACATGAGCTAAGAGTGCAGTTGTGCTCTGTTGGGGATGGCAGATACAAAGTGTTGTGCATAAAGTACTACAGAAACCTTCCCAGACATTTCCACTTAGTGAGAACATTTTGGGCTCCATAGCTGCTTTGGCTGGAAAAGTTCTTTAAACATTATTAAATTGGCCATCTGATTTGGAAAGAGAAAAGAATACCATTCCACTTGCTTTGCTGGGAATACAGAGTGAAGCGGGGAAGGGGAGCAGGGGAGCAGGGGAGCAGGGGTAGAACAGCACAAGGACCAGGACTCTTCCCTCTGTTGCAGAGTTTCCCACACCTACTTGGTAAGAGTATGAGTATAAATACCATCTCTTACGGGTGCCATAATCACCTATGAGCCTCTTACAACTACAGACGCTTGGGTGGGACCTGGTGGAATCTGAGTATCTAAATGTACAATTATAAATTTATAGTTTCTTCTTCATTTCTTTTTAATGATCTCAAGAGGTGATTATTATACACACCAAGCATCATAGTCAGCTCATGCTGGCGTAGCAAATACCATACACTAGTTGGTTCAACAATAGCAAGTTATTTTCTTACCGTTTCTGGAGGGAGGAAAGTCTAGATTAAGGGGCCAACGGATTCAATTTCTGGTTAGGTCTCCTTTCCTATATTGCAGATGGCCTCCTTCTCACTGTGTTCTTACAGATGCAGACAGAGCTAGGGAGCTCTCTGGTATACCTTATTGGAAAGCCACTTGTCCTATCAGGGATCCACCCTTATGATCTCATTTAACAAAAATTACTTCCTTACTCCAAATATAGTCACATTAGGGGTTAGGGTGTCAACATGAATTATGAGGGGACACAATTGAGTTCATAGCATTAAGGTTTTATAACAATTAAAGAGAACCTATTTTTAAATCTCCAAATCTCACACAGAACACTATCTATTTTGGAAGGTTTTCCCTATCAAATACTAACTAATATATTTAGAAAATGAGATAACCAGGTTAGTCACACTGAGTTGATGTTACTTCAGTCAGTTGAGAAGTAACTTGGAGTGGCAGGTGGTCTGTATAGCTTTAGGGGAATAATTTTCTTAGTCTTCTTAAGATAGTAAAAATAGTATAGTAGAATTCACTCAGGAAACTGAGTTGTGAATTATTGCATGTATTTATATGTCCTATCCCTGGTGAGATTTTAATATCTTTTAATCTTCAGAGCACTATCCAGTTCATGTGAAATACACAATAAGTTACTGGTTGATTTTATATTAGATTAAAATAAACTTTAAAAAACTGTATTACTAAATATTTCAGACACATACAAATGGAGGAAATAATGAATAATATGATCTCTCATATACTACTCATGATTTGACTTCAATAATCATCACCACACAGAATATTTCATCTATACTTCCCTCTACTGTTTTTACCTCTATTTATTAAATTTTATTTATTTATTTTTATTTTTGGAGACAGGATCTCACTCTGGTGCCCAGACTAAAGTGCAGTGGCACAATCATGGCTCACTGCAGCCTCAACTTCCTGGGCTCAGGTAATCCTCCCACCTCAGCCTCCTGAGTAGCTGGGACTACAGGCACGTGCCACCACACCCAGCTAATTTTTGTATTTTTTGTAGAGACGGGGTCTCACCATGTTGCCCAGGCTGGTTTTGAACTCCTGGGCTCAAATGATCTGCCTGACTTGGACTCCCAAAGTGCTGGGACTACAGGCATGAGCCACTGGAGCCCAGCAAAATTATTATTATTATTTTTAGAGTACCAGAAAGCATATAACTTCATGCATAAATATTGCAGTATATAATTTTAAGAATTTGGACTCTTGTAAAAAACATTTCCAGTATTCCATAGTCATATCTAAAATAATTAACACAAATCCCATAATGTCATCAAATGTTCTGTCAATATTCTCATAACTTCTTTCTAAAGTTTCAACTAGTGTCTAAATAAGTAATGTCCATACATTGCAACTAGTTGATAAGTCTCTTTTAATACAAAATTTCTGGCCAGGCGCGGTGGCTCACGCCTGTAATCCCAGCACATTGGGAAGCTGAGGCGAGTGGATCACTTGAGGTCAGGAGTTTGAGACCAGCCTGGCCAACATGGTGGAACCCCATCTCTACTAAAAATACAAAAATTAGCTGGGTGTGGTGGCGCACGCCTGTAGTCCCAGCTACTCATCGCTTGAACCCAGGAGGTGGTTACCGTGAGCCAAGATCGCACCACTACACTCCAGCCTGGGAGATAGAGTGAGACTCTGTCTCTTTTTCATCCCTTTTTTTTTTATTTCTCGTGATATATTTGTTGAAGAAACTGGGACTTTTGTTCTGTAGAGTGTCTCATATTCTGCATTTTGCTGAGTTTGTCCTTTTTATCATTTAACATGTACCTCTATCCCTTACATGTCTTAATATTGGTGGGTAGTGCTAAAGATTTGGGGAGAATCAGATTTGATTTTTGGCAAGAGTGTTTTAGAAGTTTCGTCTTTTTATTAGGAAGCAGTTAACATTTGGTTGTCTTTGTTTTTCAAAGAAGGAAACATTAATGATCAAAATATCATTAGGGCCTGATTGCAATAATTTTGAAAATCAAAGGTCTAAGGTTATCTGAGTCTGCACAATGGTTGAGAAGAATCAAGATAAGCATGGACGTGGAGAAAGAACTGTGTTTTAAAAAGCTCTTTTGAATTTGCTCTTCTCCTCTGCCCCAGACTATTCTGTCTTCTTGGCTGAAGACTGAAAATGTGGATATTAAAAGGCAGTTTCTGGTAAGCAGTAGAGAGTTGAATGTCTAGGTTCATGATGCCAGTGCTTGTGATTGCTTGTCTCTCTGCTTTCAAAGATGTCATGGAAGAATAAATGCTTTCCCCCTCTCTTTGGAAAATTTACTAGGAATTCCTTTTTCAAAACATTCTTTCTGGTTCTTCTGAGATTACATATCTCAGAGTTCCCTGACTATACTCAGAAAATACATTGGAAAGGTATCTTCTTGCCACTGACTTAAGGTCATTTAATCATTTTCCCATTCATTCAAAGGGCAAAAGAAAACTCCTCACTCTCTATATCCAAAACATGAGTGAGAGGTTGCTCAGCACAGTGGAATGTACATGAATTTTAGAATCAAACAGAATAGAGTTTAAATCCGCTCTTAGTCACTAATGAGCTGTGTTGCTTTGGGCAGGTCACTTATCTTATTATACCTTATGTATTCCAACTAAGAATACAGAATATTCTGGGGTTGGGGGAAATAACAAATTAAAAGGTGATTAAAACACAGTTCTTTTTCCATTTCCACTCCTATTCTGATTTTTCTTTTGCCTTAGTTTCCTGTCCTATGAAATGGAGATCATAACACCTGCCTCACAAGTCTCCTTAATATCTACTTAGCATCTACTTAATATCTACTTAGCATCCTGCCTACATGAGGCATGTAAGATTGTTCTTATCACACATTAGATAATAGTAAATGGAAGTATTATCATTATTAACATACTTATTATTTATTCAGTGAATAGTAGTTTCCTACCTTTCTTCACCTCCTTAACTCCCCATATATTCTATTATTATCTATTAATATAGTAAAAATGGACTGTAGGTTATTTTTAAATGAATGTTTGGTTAAGACTATTAAGAGAGTGTTGAACATGAGAAAGACACCACAAAGTAATAGTAACTGAGAGCACTCACAATATTTCAGAGTAGAAAGAATAGATGTTTTTAAAGTCAGGGATACTGAACTATTTCTGTTTTATTAATGTATTTTTAAAAGGGTAGCCTACGCTAAATGATTTATGATAGCACTTTATAGTATTTTAGTAAGTGCCCTGTAGTATATTTTGTAAATACAGTGACATTTTAGTGATAAGAGTTCTCATTACAAGTCTCTGTTATTAAATCATTCCTCCAAAGACAGGTTAAACTGCTAGGTTTGGGGTAAGAATTATAGGGTTTATAGATTCATGAAGTGAAAATCAGTATGCTTGAGCTGTATAATGTATATTCACTGTGAAGGTGCGACATAGTAGAACAAGAAATGATTACAATACTAAGAATGCAAAAAACCGAACAAGAGGATTTGTGTGTGAGTGTGTTTGTGTATGCGTAAGCCCTCCTAGAGTGACTTACTGTCACTTTTGTTTAAGTGAGACAAATATGTCGTTACCGGCATTATCATTTTTATTTGACTTAATAAAAAAAATTGTGTCCATCTTGGTAGTATTTTTATTAAGACTTTAACTCAGGTTGAGATTAGGATACCCTGCTGGCCTGGACGACTGAAGGCCCAGTGCTGGACTTGAGCAGGAATTCTGGCAGAAATAAAATCAATCAAGGACACATTTTGATGAAATATTACTGATTCCAACCCAGCAACGGACACATTGTCATTTGTTAGAGAATTTAGACCAAAGAAACCCATAGAATGACAATATGGCAATCTGGTTCAACTTGCTGTGTCTCTGTTCATTGTAAGTCAGAATCGTACCCTTAAAGAGGGGTCTATTGTACTTCTCAGGAGAGTCATTGGGTTGGTTCCATTAAACAAGTACTTGTTCATGAAATAAAGTTATAAGCATGGAGATCTTTTATAACTAGATAAGTATTGATTATTGCGTTTTTTACTCAGAACAACTAAAGAAGTCCTCATTTCACACCATTCTCATCCTATATAACCTTGCTGCAATGAATGAAATGTTTGTGTTCCCCTCCAAATTCATATGTTGAAATCCTAACCCCTAACAGGATGGTATTAGGAAGTGGAGCCTTTGGGAGATGATAAATCCCTCATTAATGGGATTAATGCTCTTATAAAAGGGATCCCAGAGAGCGCTCTTGCCGTCTTTTTTCCATGTGAGGATACCACAGGAAGTCAACACTCTGGACCTTGAAAGAGGAGCTCTCGTCAAACTCAACCATGATGGCACCCTGATTGATCTTGGACATCCAGCATCAAGAACTGTGAGAAGTAAATTTCTGTTGCTTGTAAGCCACCTAGTCTATGGTACTTTGTTAGAGCAGCCCAAACTGAGACACATGCTTACAGATTTGGGGCTATCGAACACCAAAACTAGATTTAAAGCAAGGTAAAAGAACTTAGGACAGATGATCTCTTAGCAAAGACAAGTTATTATTGGAACAGAATATATCATGTAAAGCCTCAAACTTTAGCTTGCATCAGAATGATGTGGAAAGCTTGTTAAAACACCAATTCCTGGGCTTTCAACCCCAGCGTTTGTGATTCCATAGGTCTGGGGTGGGTACCAAGACAGCTTTCCTAAGCAGTTCCCAGTTGATACAGCTGCTGCTGGTCTGGCCACCACTCCTGGGCTCCTCTGGTGTGTATGCTGCAGATGTCAGTAAGGTAATTTTCCATTTGCTAGAAGCAAGGAGAGTGTAAGAATCTGCCTGAAGAGTCTCAGAGAGTTGGGTTTCATTTATTCAACAAATACTGGGTGCCCATACAATACTGCTAGGTCCTAAAATGGTAAATAAGACTCTTAGATCACCATTGCCTTCAAGGTGCCTAATAGCTAAACATGAAATTCTGATCAACTGTGTGATTGTTGTGAGCATGCTATGAAACAAAATAGAGGGTCAAAGCCCAGATGTGTAGGGTGGTCAGGAAAGTGTTCTCAGAGGACATGACATGTCCACTTAATTTCCTGACTTCCCCACGAAACAACAAACAAACCCATAACTTTTGGGCTGGTGTCCTTTCCCTCTGAATTAGTATGAGAGCTTTCTTAGAATATTCTACCTGCTGCCTCTCTCGGCTCCTCACCAAAACCCCACAACATCATGCTATTCTCTTATAAAAATGCAAATATGATCACATCACTCTTATGCCTAAAACATCTCTACTTTCAGCATAAATGCCAAACTTCCCTTTCACGGTCTTTTCCAGTCTGCACTTTTAACCTCTCCACGTGTACTGTCTATCTGAACACCTTATTCTCCAGTTTCGTGACACTTCTTGCTCATCTCGGAAATGACATTTTCTCTTTCATTTAGGATATTTAGGATTCATTTGCTCTTTTCTTCAGGGCATTTCTCATACTCTTTACTCTATTTGGATATTTTTGTCCTGGGATTGACTACCTCCATCTTACCTATTGCAGCTCAGTGTTTTGGTCCTCTGGGAAACCTTCCAGATCCTTTCTGGCAGATAAGCACTTTTCTCTCTTCATTACAACATTTGGTGGATATATATTTGTTAGATATGATGGGCTATTTGTTGATTTATCTATCTATTTATCTATTTATCTATTCCAGACTAGACTTGGATTCCTGGATGACCAAGGCTGTGAATCATTCATTTTATCACCAGGATACTTAGCTCAAAGATAGGTACATAGGAGGCGGTCAATTAATTGATTACTGAATGCATAAATGAAAAAAGGGGAATAAAATTAAACAGAAGATAGTAAATAAAACCCTAGTCTGTAGATTTTCATTTTCTATTTTTTAACCTGGTAGATTTTATTTTATTTTATTTTATTTTATTTTATTTTATTTTATTTATTTTATTTTATTTGTAGAGGCAGGGTCTTGCTCTGTTGCCCAGGCTGGAGTGCAGTGGTGCAATCATAGCTCACTGCATCCTCAAACTCCTAGGCTCAAGCAGTCCTTCTGCCTTAGCCTCCTGAATAGCTGAGACTACAGGTGCAAGCCCCCATACCTGGCTTTCTTTCTTTTGTGTGTCTGTGTGTGTGTGTAGATAGAGATGGTGTCTCACTATGTCGCCTGGGCTGGTCTTGAACTTCTGGCCTCAAGTGGTCCTCCTGCCTTGGTCTCCCAAAGTGCTGGGAATACAGGCATGAGTTACCATTCTCAGGCTTCAACAGCAATTTTAAATATTTGGGTGAGATAAACTGACAGACATGGCCTGAGTATAGAGTTCATTATTTGTCCTCTAACCTGTGACTGATGTGGGGTGGAGTTAAGTTGTGAGATACATAAAGTGTTTTATTCTCTTTCTTTATTTAGACCATTTTATTGAAGTATGATTGGCACGTGAAAAACTATATATATTTAATGTATATAATCCAATGAGTTTGGGGATAAGTATACATGGTCACCTCTATCAAGACCATGACTATCTTCATCACTTCCAAAAGTTTCCTCCCAGCCCCTTTATTATATTATTTATTCTTTTTAAATATTTTCTCTTATCAACTGTAGGTAGGCAAGTTAACTACCAAGGGCAAGGAGAGGCATGAGTAAAAATATTAGGTTCATGCCTCTCGTTTATCTTTTTTCAAACCCCCCAAATCTCACTGATATTAGTGCAAAGATATTAATTCACAGGAATAAAATAACCTAGAAAGAAGAGAAAATATAGCAGATGAGAGATTTATTAAAATTCAAGGAGATGAGAAGCAGAAAGAAAACATACAATTTAGGAAGGTAGAAGAGTTTCAACCTAATTGTCTACGGGGGTGGTCATAGCGGGGATGTTATCTATTACTCCATGGAGTTTTGAGAGCTTTAATGATTGGAGGCATCCCAGACACAGAGAATGAAGGTTAACCATAGAATAGTGTTTCCATGTGGGGATTCTTTTCCGGCATTTTTGGAAAATTTGTGTGTTTTTCTGAATTCAGAGAGAAATCAGTTGAGAAAACAGGAAAACAAATTACAATTCCTCCGCTAGAATTAAAGCTTAATCACCATAGCAATGTTTCTAGTTTGAAAGAATAGACTGATGTCAAGTTGAAAGCAAGAGCAGGAATCACTGGTACGCAGAATGGAAGCGTAAGATGGACATTTCCAGGACCAGAACAGGAGCAGGTAGATGAGCAGCAATCACCGTCTCGTCAGTGGTTGTTGCCATGTTTTAGGTGTCTGTGGTCCTGTCTGCTGCTAAGGATGAATCATTCTTGCAAATAAAATGAATATTAATACATTTATATACATAGTATACTTTATACAAATCCTTTGAATGTTGTTCTAAGAAATAAGTCTGGAAGCAAAATAAGTTCTTAAGTTGACAATTTTGACACGTGATTCTGCATAGTATTGTTAACTGTGTTGGAATATCAGAATGTTATATTATTGTGATATGACCCAATAATGTTAGCTGGCGTTTTCTAGTGTTTAAAATACTTCATAGGCTACAATTGTTTGTAAATAACTTAACAGAAGAAATGCAAGGAGAAAAATATATGAAATTGTTGTGGAATATTCTGACATAGAATTAGTAACCAATGTAAAATTTGAATCATCAAAAGCAACATAAATTCAATGGCAAAACCAAACTTAGAGAAGGCAGATGAAATACTTTCATCATTAAAAAATGAGATAAACTTTTATGAAGTAACATATACTCTGATATGCAACTTGAAGATCTTTGGACTTTATCAAGCCATCAGTGCAAAATGAAAGCAATTTTTCCAAAAAAATGGGATGTTTGTTATAAAAATCAAGACTATTAGGTAGGGCTATTAAAACTTTGTGTGCTTTAAAATTTTACATTAAGAAAAGTACTTTAAAATATTTTACATATTTTTGATATTATCTTTCAATGCTTTGAATGATTTTTATTTAGTATTTATTTTGTTTCTTTTGGTGTTTTCTATTATCAAATGATTATGTTGGATAGAGATGATTTTTATAGATTATTAAAATAAATATCTTGTCATAATAATATTGATTCATAATAATCATAAGTCATGCATTTAATACTCTTTTTTAAATTTTGTCAAAAATTCCTGCAAGTTCAGTTTGGTCCTATCACAGAAAAGTGGTTTACTGCTTATTATTAGGTCACTTACTATTACTTAAAAACATGCAAATAAAGCTTTATGAAAAATACAGATTAACTTATGATTTGGAAAGTGTCTAAAAATTCCTGAGAATTCTGATTCTTCAGCATCTAATCTTGAGAATTTGGAAGCACAAGAATGCAGTTGAACACAATAGAACTGGTGTAAGATCTATACAGGGCAGGCTCCTGACACATCTCACATCTCACCTGACACATCTCACACTGTCAAGACTAGCCCTCCTCTCCCTTACTCTCCAACATCCAAACTTTCACCCCAACCAGGGGATACTGAGAGTGAAGCTTTTGGAGAAATGTCTTCAAACTCAGCGAAACTGCACTGAGATCCAGGTTGAGAAAAGGGCAGAGTAAGTAAAAATCAAGATACTCTACTCTGGGACCTTCCTCACCATTCCTCCATTTAAAACCTAAAATGTTACTAGCAAAACAGAAACTATCATTATCTTGCTTGTTCTCTCCCCACCCTGTCAAATTCAAGAGCATGGAGAAATTGATTGCCACAGCTTAAGAAATCAGTACATTTCCATAACATAAACATCTGCTGGTCCTTCATTCCTCATCCTTGTCATTTCACACCAATCAGGATTTTAGTGACTCATTTTTAAGTAAGAATGAATAGCCAGGTTAAAGAATTCCCAAGAATTTAATTCTTTAAGAATTAAAGAATTCCCAAGAAAAAGAAATTAGAAAATCAGATATAAAACAGAATTCAGTAAAAGATTTAGCTAATGATATCAAAATCTCAGGATGAAACAAATGTTTAACAGAGAATTTGGCAAAAATATATTAAAAATTAAAGATTAATCAGGAAGGCCCACTACTTAAATAATAGGTGTTATAGCCCTAGAAATCCAGAAAAAACAAAGAAGTACAGATATTATCTAAGAAATGGCTCATAATTTTCAGAAATGAAGACTATATTTTCCTCATTGGAAAGATTCAATGAATGCCCTGCGTCAATAAACATATGCCTACCCTAAAGCATACATTTCAGAATACCAGGAATAAAAAGGTGATTCTAAAAGAATCAGGCAAGTATTTAATAAGTCATGTGCAAGAATTTGAATGACTGGCTTCAGACTTTTCAACAGCAACACTGAAAATTAGAAGTCGGTGGAGTATTGCCTTTAAAAGGCCTTTCTGTATGAAAATATTTTCAACCTCAAATTCTATATCCAGCAAAAATATGAATCTACTGTGAAGGTCCGAACACTGGGGAAGATCATCTGCTTTTTCTTAGAAAAGTATTGGAGAATGTTTTTCAAAATAACAAGGACCAATTCAAGAAAGAACACTGGAGATCCAAGAAACAAAAGACCATCAAACTCAGCAGAAATGTGAAGGGAAGTGCCAGCGCTAGTGATCAACAATACATATCTGAATCAGATGACAGGACATAGCTGGAAGAACGTTTCCAAAAACAGAGAAAGAGGAACTAATAGTTTATTTTATAATTTGCTCACATGGAATAATATTCACAATTGTTGGAGAATTTTGTTGAGTATCTAGAAAAAAATAGTGAAAAGTTTATAGAAAACTAAAGAAAAAAGGGAAGAATAGAAAAATAAATTATCATAGTATATTGGTTGATTCAGCTTTAAAAAATATTTGTTGTCCTAATAGTTGATTAGTTATTTAAATTTTGTGATAAAGCGATACTGGAGTGGCTCATGTGGCAAAGAAATGATCAGCAGCTAATAAAGACTGGAGACCTGCCAGCAGCCACTCAAATGAGTTTAGAAGCAGATCCTTCCCCACTTCAGCCTTCAGGTGGTACAGCCCTGTCCGGTATCTTGATCGTAGCCTTATGAAACACCCTGATTGTGAGATATCTAGATAAACTCCTCCTGGATTCCTGACGCGCAGACACTGAAATAATCAGTGTTTGTTGTTTCAATCTGCTAAATTTTAGAGTAATTTGTTATGCAGTAATAGATAATCAATACAACATTTCCTTCCTAGATATGCAATCTTCAGCTATATAAACATTATTTTGTTTGATGTAGAACCATGGAGTTGGTTTTCATTTGTTTATTTTTAGAATTTGTGAGAAGATGCTTTGGTTCCTTCACTTAGTGGCTCAGAAAACATAGTTGAAGAATTAGAATCAGACAGACGATGGGAGAGATGTTGCTAATGATATTTTTCTTTGTCTAAACATCTTAAGGGGAATGCTATCAAAACTGGGAGGCAGTAGTAATAACCTGCTAAAGTTATCCACCAGCCCAATGATCTCAATATGAATAGCACCCATAGCCTAGACATACAATTCTATGTATCACAGAAATGCATCTTCCAGCTCACAGAGGATTCATTGAAATGAACACCTGACTCTTGCTGAGTCAATCTGATCCTCTTCCTAGAAATTTAGAACTGGCCTACATTGAAGAAGTTATTTAAAGGTAGTGATCTAAAAGAAATATTCTGTAGACTTAAGGTTTAACACGCAGCCATCATGGGACATGTATATACGGACAAATAAGAAGACAGTTTACGGAATAATAAACCAGAAGCCAATACATAGAAAGAGCCATTGTCAAACAAACCCAGAGCTGCATACCCACACAGACCCAGATACATGATTCTTTTAGTTAAGTTTCTCTTAAATGGATTCTGTGAGCATTTTCTCTTAGTTTTGGTGCCCCTCCCCTCCCCCCTCCTCCCCTCTCCTCCGCTCTCCTCCCCTCCCTTCCCCTCCCCTTCCCTTCTTTTTTCTTTTTCTATCACTTATAGCAGTGGTCCCCAACCATTTTGGCACCAGGGACGGGTTTTGTGGAAGACCTTTTTTTCCACGGACTGGGGGTGGGGGGTTGGTTTCAGGATGAAACTCTTCCATCTCAAATTATCAGGTATTAGTTGGATTATCATAAGGAGTGGGCACCCTAGATTCCTTCCATCTGCAGTTCACAATAGGGTTTGTGCTCCTATGAGAATCTAATGCCTCCACTGATCTGACAGGAGGCGGAGCTCAGGAGGTCATACTCCTTGCCGCTTACCTCCTGCTGTGTGGCCCGGTTCCTAACAGGCCACGGGCCGCTACCAGTCTGCAGTACCAGGGGCCGAGGACCATTTTGTTATAGGAAAGATGGTGTGTTTCTACTCCTTGCTAATAAATCATCCCTGAGTGAGATGGAAGTTAGAGAGTGCCATTCATTGGGCTTACCTGAAAGGTGATCTGGAGGAGCCAGTTTTTCATTTCTATGACAGTGGACTTTCTCCAGAAGTGTATTCCTGAGGCTCTGCCCCTAGAACAGACAAGAACAGTGTATAACAAGCTCTTCATAACAGCCACCATCAATAAACAAGCAAAGGATTGTGATTTCTTTCTTTCAAAACATTTCTATATAAATTAAGCTTTCTAAGTATCTGTTGATCTTAACAGGAACCATTCA
The DNA here is from genome assembly GCF_000001405.40 of Homo sapiens. Taxonomy (NCBI): domain Eukaryota; kingdom Metazoa; phylum Chordata; class Mammalia; order Primates; family Hominidae; genus Homo; species Homo sapiens. The sequence continues at coordinate 74,596,111 of NC_000013.11, forward strand.
ATCTTACTTAGCAGTCTGCAGCATGGGAAAATGGACATTTCTGAATTTAACAGGCTCTGCTGTTATGAAACCCACCTATAACTGTGGATTATTTATTTATATATATCAGTCAGCATCATAAGTGCAAATCTTAGACTATCTTTTTGTTTGATTGCTGTGGAATGTTGTGGGTTATACTCTGACACTAATTTTGGATCTCTTTTAAGATTTTATTATTTCCTAGATCAATTCTTGATACTGTCTCTGTAAAACAAAAATTATAATTTTTAAGTGAAAACCAAGGATAATCTCAAAGCTCACTTTAAATTCGCCATCTCTGCTCACTATCTTTATGTTGTGAAAATAACTGGTGTTTTGAAGCCAGACTGTATCAGCAAAATATCAGCAAAATTCATTTATTTAAGAAATGTTTGCTGAACCTCTCTTACTTACAAACAGTATGTGCTTTGTGAGCTTTTGTTGATGAATAAGCATGCATGATTTCTATAGCTTCTCTGAGCCCCAGTTTTATTATTTATAAGGTAGTTTTTTATTTTTACATGTTCATTGTATTAAAAATTAATTTATTATTGGGTACATAATACATATACAATGACTTATTTTCCTTGAAATTATATATACACATGAACAAATTAACTTGAATTATTTGGCATCCATTTGGGCATTGGAACTCTAGGAATTCAAGCAGCAGGTGGGAAATATAAAAAACAATAGCAGAATAAGGAGTCTGCAAACTGACAATAAGTCAAATACCGAGCGTTGACTACTCATTGCAGTGCCCCATGTAGCAACACAGCTCTTCCTTAGGCTCAGTCTGAGCCAAGGCGGTGAATCTAAACTTAAGTACAGGTCCATTAGTGTCAAAGAGCATTCAAAAATGCAATTAGGAAAACTCGTACACGTGTCTCTGGATTGGTTTCTTGCTTGAAGCTTCCAACTCTTATTTGACACAGAATTCTATAAATTATATACTAGTTAGTGGTTTCCCAGCCCACATCAGATTAAGAAAACAAACCAAGAGTAGAGTAAAGCCTATTCAGAGAGCAAACTAAGAAAGCAAACTAAAAGTAGAGGAAAACACATGGATACACTCAAGTAGCAGCTGACAATATAACCAAGAGTTAGGGGATAGAAAAATCAATGAAAGGTACAACTACATACACAGTAGGGTAAGCTGTTGATAATACAGTAGTCTTGATTAGAATGTAGCTCAACAATTAATGTCCAAAATAGCAGTTACAAATAATCAGAGAAAAAGCCAATAATGTTTAAAATACTTTTTTTAGTGAGGCAAAGTAGTGACTCAAAAAGATGAGAAAGCTTTGGCTAAAATAATTATAGAAAAAAAGAATGGTAAAAACTTGAACTTTTGAATATTATAATTTTTGTTATCCTTTAAAATTCAATTACATGAAATCCTAGAGTCACTGATAATGATGAATAATAGAGGCATTATTTAATATATTCTATGCAGTACTGAGCCACACTTTAATAAGACAAAATAGTTCATTTCTTTTGGCAAATATAGGAAACATCCAATATGAGGTTATAAGTGGATATATCCACAGGCACCTATTCAAATAGTCTTTCAGTTAAGTACTTCTGGCACATGAACTAGTATTAAGTAGCTATAAATTCCCTTCAACATTTATTTAAAACATCATAAAGTAAACACAGCAGGAAACTGTGTAAAGAGAATGTTCAGTTTAGCGTATTACAGCACTGAATCTTGAAAGATTGTTACATGTAACACGGCCCTGCAGTCAAGCAAAAAGCATGAGGATCCGTAAAGGTGAGAAAGTCAAACTTGTAATTAGAGAATGAGGAATAAAAGCAGACCAATTAAAGATGAATTTCTCTAGGAGCCCTTGCCATTACACATATATTTACTAGTATTAAATGTAATTTCGTATTACAAATTCTACCAAATTCCATGCTAGGTGCTTAATTTCTTTTACATCATCTCTTTTTCCTGATTAAAAATATCTTCCTGTAAGAAGCTGAGACTTATTCTTGTATCATTTTTTAGCTCTCATAAAAAGGGAACAATCTCATCATATTTTGTCTGTGGAATTGACTTCCTGCATGTGTGATACATGAGGTGCTTGAGACCCCATACTCAGAAGGGTCCCAGGTTTGGCTTAATGCTCTGCTGCTGCCATCTTGAACTTCTTCATAATTTTTCTTTTCTTTTCTTTTTTTTTTTTTTTTTTTTGAGATAGAGTCTTGATCTGTCTGTCGCTTAGGCCGGAGTGCAGTTGCATGATCTTGGCTCCCTGCAATGTCTGCCTCCCGGATTTAAGCAATTCTCCTCCTCAGCCTCCTTAGTAGCTGAGATTAAAGGCATGCACCACCACACCCAGCTAATTTTTTGTATTTTTAGTAGAGATGGGGTTTCACCATGTTGGCCAGGTTGGTTTTGTACTCCTGACCTCAGGTGATCTGCCCGCCTCAGCCTCCCAAAGTGCTGGGATTACAGGCATGAGCCACCGTTTCCAGCCTTCATAATTTTTTAACAAGCGACCTTGAATTTTCATTTTACACTGGGCCCTCCAAATTACATATCTGGTTCTGTTTATCTGTTTATCTGGTTCTGCCCAATTGGTTTATGTACTGATGCATTTGGTGTCGAAAAATGAAGAGTCCAAATACTTATATCACAACCGTAAAATTAGTTATGTTTTTTCCCCTTCTTGTCCTGTTCTACTTCTCCCTTCTCCAGTTAAATTATCATATTAGGCAAACAGATCAATGAAACTGAATTATCCCAGAAGCAAACTCATGCATATAAGTACACTTGTTGCTTGACAGATTTGCTATTGGAAATTAAGTGGGGGAGGTCCAATGGTCATTACAATAAATGATGCTAATGCACTGAACAAACGAGAAAAATTATATTTCAAACTCTTACCAAACCAAAACATTAACTTTGAGTAGTTTAAAAAACGAATTGTGAAAAACGACATGTAGAGTGATAAGTTTGTTTATACTACAAATATGATTTTTCTGCCCATCAAGACACCCTAAAGGAAGTGAAAAGTCGAGCTACAAACTCTAAGAATACAGTTATATTGCATAAAGTGTAGAAAGGACTACAACTTGAAAGAAAATTTCAAACAGTTCAATAGAAAACTGGGCAATAGGTACTTCAAAGAAGAGGAAACTTAAATTAACAAAAAACACTGGAAAATGAACTAGATCAGTAATAATCAGGAAATGTAAATAAAAAGTAAAAGGGGTTACCATATCACACCCACCAGACAAGCAAAAATTTAAGTCTGTGTATTACTAAAAATTGGAGGCGATATGGATCAATAGAAATTTTTATATATTAGTAGATGGACCGTGAATTGAAAAACATCTTTCTTTATTTACTTGACAAATAATGATTGGATATATTTATGGCATACAATCTGATATTTTGATATATGTGTACATTGTAGAAAGATTAAATCAAGCTAATTAACATTTCCATCACCTCATCTCCTTTTTTTTTTTGACATTCTTTTTTTTTTAATTATACTTTAAATTCTGGGGTCCATGTGCAGAACGTACAGGTTTGTTACATAAGTATACACATGCCATGGTGGCTTGTGGCACCCATTAAGCCGTCATCTACATTAGGTATTTCTCCTAATGCTATGCCTCCCCTAGCCCCTACCCCTGACAGGCCCCTGTGTGTGATCTTCCCCTCCCCGTGTCCATGTGTTCTCATTGTTCAACTCTCACTTATGAGTGAGAACACGCGGTGTTTGGTTTTTTGTTCTTGGATTATTTGCTGAGAATGATGGTTTCCAGCTTCATGCATGTCCTTGTAAAGGATGTGAACTCATCCTCTTTTATGGCTCCATAGTATTCCAAGGTGTATATGTGCCACATTTTCTTTACCCAGTCTATCACTGATGGTCACTTGGGTTGGTTCCAAGCCTTTGCTATTGTGAACAGTGCTGCAATAAACATACATGTGCATTTGTCTTTATACTAGAATGATTTATAATCCCTTGGGTATATAGCCAGTACTGGGATTGCTGGGTGAAATGGTATTTCTGGTTCTAGATCCTTGAGGAATTGCCACACTGTCTTCCACAACTAGTTTACACTCCCACCAACAGTGTAAAAGTGTTCCTATTTCTCCATATCCTCTCCAGCACCTGTTGTTTCCTGACTTTTTAATGATCGCCATTCTAACTGGCATGAGATGGTATCTCATTGTGGTTTTGATTTGCATTTCTCTAATGACTAGTGATGATGAGCTTTTTTTCATGTTTCTTGGCCACATAAACGTCTTCTTTTGAGAAGTGTCTGTTCATATCCTTTGCCCACTTTTTGATGGGGTTGTTTTTTTCTTGTAAATTTGTTTAAGTCCTTTATAGATTCTGGATATTAGCCCTTTGTCAGACGGGTAGATTGCAAAAGTTTTCTCCCATTCTGTAGGCTGTCTGTTCACTCTGATGATAGTTTCTTTTGCTGTGCAGAAGCTCTTTAGTTTAATTAGATTCTATTTGTCAATTTTGGCTTTTGTTGCCATTGCTTTTGGTGTTTTAGTCATGAAGTCGTTGCCCATGCCTATGTCCCGAATGGTAAGACTACAGTAACAAAAACAGCATGGTACTGGTACCAAAACAGATATATAGAGCAATGGAATAGAACAGAGGCCTCAGAAATAACGCCACACATCTACAACCATCTGATCTTTGACAAATCTGACAGAAACAAGCAATGGGGAAAGGATTCCCTATTTAATAACTGGTGTTGAGAAAACTGTCTTGCCATATGCAGAAAGCTGAAACTGGATCCCTTCCTTACACCTTATACAAAAATTAACTCAAGATAGATTCAAGACTTAAACGTAAGACCTAAAACAACAAAAACCCTAGAAGTAAACCTAGGCAATATCATCTCCTTATTTTTTTGTAGTGAGAACATTTAAAATCTTTCTTTTAGCAATTTTTAAATATACAATACATATTATTAACTGTGGTCGCCATGCTGCATGCTATGCAATAGATCCGTAACACTTACTTCTCCTATCTAACTGACTGACATCTCTTCTTTCCCCAACCCTCCCCACTAGTAGCCTTTGACTGACATCTCCCCTTTCCCCAACTCTCCCCGCTAGTAGCCTCTGGTAACCACTATTCTATTCTGTTTCTATGAGATTGGCTTTTTTAGATTCCACACAGAACTTCTTTCGAAAAAAGTTTGATTTTACCTGAATATGAAACACACATGCCCCATGACCCGTTAATTCTATCATTATGTTTAATAAATCAAATCAGATAAACTTTTATTCATGTGGACCAGAAGACATGTATAAGAAAATTCACAGCAGCATAGATCTAAATACAGTAGATCACATACACAAAGTGGGATATAATCATTCGGTGGCATAAAACAACAATAAAAATGAATGAACGACAGCTACTAGTATCACCAGTGATTAATCTCCCAAACATAATAGTGAGTAAGCAATACGTGACTCAATTCCACTCAAGTTCAAAAGTAAGCACAACCATACAATATATTGTTGGGGGCACATACATAGATACTAAAATCATAAAAAGCTACTATTCTCACGTCAGTGAGGATGGTAGTTACTAGGGATAGAAAGGGAAGGATATGCAATGAAAGAGATCAGAAGCTTCTAACTTATTGGTAATGCTTATTTCCTAATAAGGATTTTGGCTACTTTGATGTTGTCTTTATTGTTATAAATAAAGAAAAAATATATATAAGGTTTACATACTCTGATAAGGTATGAACATATTTCATAATTTAAAAAATGCCTAGTGTTTCAAAGCATTATGTACCCAATATGTACTGTATTTAAAGGCAAGTCTTCTCAAGGTCTACATATTGTTGACAAACCTTCAGCGACAAATTAATTCCTAACTCTCATCCACAAAATCTACCCAAAGAAAAAGAATTATATTCATGTATGCATTAAAGATTTTTTTAAAAATATTTTATGCTGCATCCAGTGTTAGCTCTTTTTGTAATTAACATGAATAAAATACACATGAAATTGTAAGAAGCACAGGTTTTGATGGAGGGAAAAGGATGTAAATAAATTGGTAGGAGAGCTGAGTTGGTTCTGCAGGCAAAACAATGATCTATGCTTGCTTTCAGATCCCTGATAATATTTAAGTAATGGCCAAAAACCCAGAAGCTTACTTCTTAAGCAGAAAAGGCATTATCAAAGTTCTTAAATATGATTACAGCTGGTTTTCTAGGAACAAAGATTTTGAAGGAGACAGTTGTCACACTGTTCTATGGTATTTGGACTCTAACTGATGGAGGACCATCAAAACATTTCAAATAGGCACTGCCAAGGTAAAGCCGCATGTCTTTTGGGGTAAAGGAAAAGAAAAGGCAAGCACGAAGCTTATCAAGAGATGGAGCACAAGAACAGAAAATGATGGGGAGCCATGAAAGCAACATTGAAAAATTAAACTATCATCAAAATTTTGACCCTTTTAAAATTGAATACATGATTTAGATATGAATACGAAGAAGATTTTCTTTCTCCTTTCTTTTTGATAGTAGGATCTTTAAAGATTGCTTTGGATAGACTAGGGTGTGATAGAAGATTTTGTTAAAGGCACCATAGTCTCACTGTGAACATAAAGCAAAGATTCTCTTGGCACAGTGTGTTTATCTTTGACTTCATAATTCCTTAAGGAACAGTTCATAATATTTACATTTAAGTACATAGCATTGAGGCCTTATGTGCTTTAGAGTATCTACTGCATAAGAACATTAATTCAAATGGGAAGCAACATTACCAGTATTAAGCTATTGAACAAGCAGTATCTAAAATCATTACTATTATTCCAGCTGGGAGAGCCAAAGGCTGAGTTGTTTATTCTGTTGGTCTTGTTTACATTTTAAATTTGAGCCATTGAAGACTTAGTTACAGAAAACAAGAATTAGAAGCATTCAGCTAGATGCTACCATCTCAGCAAACAAAACAAAACAAAACAAACAAACAACATAAAAAAAGACAAAAACAGACAGTGATTGGCCTCAAAATTGCGTCTGTCAATTTTAGTGTCTGCGCAAGGGTTCCTCCAGCTACACTGAGAAAAGGGCCTTGATTCGAGCTCTATAAATCGTTCCTTGGAGAAGAGCTCTCCAGCCTCCAAACAACTGAAATCTTACCTGTACATTTCTACTTGGTTTGCAGAGGTGGAGTTATAAAATATTTTTTATTCTTGTAGAAATAACACTTTACCAGCTTAACACTAGAAGAATGATTTTGGAGTCAGATACCAACCTTATTATTAATACTATGAAAACCAGTGTTCTATATTTAAATTTGGGGCTAGGAGAAAAAAAATTCAAAGGAGCTCCATATTTTTTGAATGATGAAATAAACATTTCTACTACTAGAGATAGTTCTTTCTTACAGTCCTGCCTTGAAGAGACTATGTTAGCAGAATTTATACTATGATGAATGTTAGCAGAATTTATACCTATGATAAATGCTGTTCTTGAAATCCCAAGGGAAGATGTCATGACTTGTTCTTTGCTAATGTGATAGATACAACCATATGGTGTTTTCTACTTTGTTTTTAATTTGCATTGTTCTCAATTTCCAAACTAGCATAATCATGAGTATCTTTGCTCTATTAACTTATTTCATGACCAACTGAAAGAAGAAACATGTAAAACTTTTGTATGTTTCCAAACATCAAATACAAAATGCTATTGGAATAATTTAAATCAATTAAAATTTCTAAAGAACAACAAAACTGATCCAGCACCTCCTTGAGCCTTACAATGTCATCCGAGGATTAATGCAACACCATTATCTGGGAACCTGCTAGAAATGCAGAATTCCAGGCCCCACTCCAGATCTACTGAATCAGAGCCTGCATTTGAACAAGGTCTCCAGGTGATCAGAACGCACATCCAAGTTCACAAAGCTCCTCCATGGCTGACCTTTACAATTGTACTGTGTTCACATAAATTGTAACTTTACCCAGAGAGAGAGTAGAATTCTAGAAATGTGAAGTATTTAAGGGAAATATGAATGTAGCTTAAAAATGCTCAAATTTGGAATCTCTTAGTAAAAATAACCTAGCTGAGTTAAACTGTACATAGGTGGAAAAGTAATTTCTATGGTAACCAAGGTTTCCTAGGTGTTTAGAATTAGGAAATTGACAGGTAATCAGTATAGTTGCTAGGGTACAATCACAATGGATGAAATCCTTTGCCAAATGGCAAATGAGTGAATGGCTACAATTTGACATCAAACTGAGATTCCTGCTGTTTTTTCAATGGTAACACAGGAAGTACTTGCTACCAATTTTGAGATTGCTGTGACGTGATGAAATATAAAAAGTAATCTCAATGTCTGAGAGAAAAATGGTGCCCAAAATGTCCATATTTATCACACAAGGGTAAGAGTCTTCTGATATACAGCTAACTTATAAAAATCGAGAACTCACAATGATGGTATACATCTCAAACATGCAGAAATAATGTTTTGAATAGAAAATATCCCTGGAAAAGATCACTCATGATCATTAAAATACCATCTTAATTTTAAAAATTCATTTAATTTTATTTACTCATTTATTTATTACTGCAAATCAGAATTTAACAATAGTAAGGTCAGATAAAAATATTTTGTTGTTGCAGTAATAACAGTTTGACTCATGGCTAAAAGTCACAGGCAAGTGTAAAAAATCTCTACTCTTAGTTCAAAATGTTTAAGCTAAGCAATTCCCCCAAGTCGCTGCTCTAGACATTAAGCTCATTAGAAAGCTAAGGGAGCAGGAAAAGAAATAATTTCTTTTCACCATATGAAGGAAAATGTTGTCTAAAATATACATCTGCTCACAAAGATGCTCTGGTGCTAGTGTTTTCAGTGGTTGAAAAAACCCAACTTTTAAGCAACATTGAATTTTGAGTGCCCTCGTATGTTCTCTGATCTCTGACAAAAATTTATCTGTCAAACTTTCTTGAGTCCTATGTGTGCTATGTTCTGAAGGGTATGCCAGTGGCTCAGGGATAGAGCACAGTCCCTTCAAAGCAAGAACCTGGCCATTTGCCTTTGCCTCCCACCATTCCCTGAATGGGTTTAAAAATTCCCACTTAAGTCAGCCATGCTGCTGATGTCTTTGACTTTGGCAATAACAGTTTTCCAAAATCTGAAGCCTGTCCTTCAAATTTTGTTTAACAGGTCTGTGATCTCCAACTACTTTTTAAAAATTCTCATTTCACCCCAAGCATGCCTATCAAAATATTACCTATTGTTCAAGGCACATTTCTTTCCTCCTCCTCCTCCTCTTCTTCTTCTCCTCTTTCTCATCCTCCTTCTCCTTCTCCTCTTCCTCCTCCTTCTCCCCCTCTCCCTCCCCCCTCCTCCCACCTCAGCTGGGATTACAGGCACACACCACCATGCCTGGCTAAGTTTTGTATTTTTAGTAGGGATGGGGTTTCACCACGTTGGCCAGGCTGGCCTCGAACTCCTGACCTCAAGTGATCCACCAGTCTCAGCCTGTCAAAGTGCTGGGATTACAGGCGTGAGCCACCACACCCAGCCTTAAGGCACATTTCTTATTTCACCTCTTCCATGAAACATTTTTTATTACTAATAACTCGTTAACACATCTTCACTTATCTCCTCAATGGTATTCCATAACACCCTTTCCTTCTGTCCCTCTATTCGATTATTTCCTCCTTCAGGATGAAGTCTGTGTCTCATTCACTTTTGCATTTGCATTACAGTACCTAGTGGCTTGCACCTAATAGCTATGTGACAAATATTTACAGGATTTAATTTTATTTGATCTCCCAGTGTCCAGACCTGCATCCCAACTGCTGGGTCACTGCAATGCTTTCAGGCTTCTAGCACCTGGCTTCTGATTCTGGGCCCTTTGGCTCCTGAACTGATTACGAGAGCATCCTAATGCTGATTACCTAAAATTGATAGGAAAACAATTGCTTCTCACCTTCCTGGTGAGATGTTTTTTTAAAGCACATGCTTCTTATTAATATTTACATGCACTGGGGTTTACAAAAAAATATGTTGATTAGAATGGAAGAGATTAGACTCAGGGGCTTATTTGCCTTCTTAATGAAGGAAAACACGCTTAGATTTGCTCAACAAAGTTTATGGGAGGCCATTGTTTGAAATAACCAAACCAGAATGGAGTTCCTGGAACTAGGTGTCATGTAATCGATTTTTAAAATGGGCCAGTCCTCCAAAAAGCAGAAAATTCACAGCGGCCAGTCTGAAGGGACTCCTGAGCCGCCATAAGGCAGTCTCTTCTGTGTCATCCATATAAGGTGATTCACTTTGAAATGATTCAAGAAAAAGCCAATTATATGTTTATAACAAATTTTTTATGATTTTGATTTTTGTTTTTTATCAGGTTTCAAGTGACTAGGACGTATAAAAGTATACGGGTGAAGTAATGAAGACAGGGCTATTTTATTACAGTCTGTTTATGCATACTCATCTTGATGTTGTCTCTGTCTTCAATGAGAACAGTAGCTCTTCTCTCCCTGATTTGAGGAAGGAACCTTTCTCAAAGGCAATACATGCCTTACTTTTAGGCAGATAAAGCCTTAAAGGGTAGAAAACTTTTCTTGTCCTGTTGAGTCTCAATTGTCTTTAGCTCAGAGTAATTCTTATGCCAATGTAGCATAATTTTGGAGTGGCATATTCTGATTCCTTTCAGAGGAAGCTCAGATAGGCAATAGAAACAATAAACCTTCAACAAATAGCCAACAATTTTTTCTCATGTCACACAACTTCGACAAATATAAATATACTCTGGAAATGTACTGCCAACATCAGCATTGACTTCAAGGTTGCTTTCTCAAACAGTGACTTCGTGAGATCTTGATCTCACTTTGGCCTTCATGTAACTCATTACTTACACTCAAACCGAGTTCTGGACTTGAATCTAATGTTCCTTGGCTATGTGTTCCTAGATGTGCCCTTGTCTCTACCATTGCCCAAGACCTTCCCTTGTCCTGAGCTGACCAGCCTTCTTCCTGGTCCTTGTCAGGATAACGTGCCTAGGCCCAAGCTGTACTGAAGACACCAAAATGTCTCTCTTAGCCAGGTATCAGTTGGACTCATAGGCTGACTTGACTGATTATTCTGAAGATGTATTTGATGTAGATTATGCAGGGGGAAAAAAAAGTACTACCTTATCCATGCCCATGTATGCATGGCAGGACAGCCACAGTCCATTTTGCTAAATCAAGTGTATCTTTACAAAGCCCTATTCTAGCAGATGCTTTGCTAGAGGCTGCGATTGGGTACAATAGGAAGTGGGGGACATTGAAAGATAAGTAAGACACAGACCCTGCCTTCCATGGGCTCCTTAGGGTCAATCAACCATGAAGTCACAGCCTATCTCTGCCACTTACCAATGTGTGATCTTGTTCAAGCCATTTGTTCTGGTTAGTCATCAGTTTCTTCAGTTATCAAAAGGAAGATAATTATTTCTTTGTCACAGGCATGTTTTAAAGAGTCTCTAGAATAGTGCACATACATATTACATGCGTAATAAGTGGTAGAAAAAAGCTTACCAAAATCTTCTCTTCTTCAATTGGCAACTTCCATTTCAATTAGCTTAACACAGATTTTATATCTGGTGTTTGTATATTTCTCAAACCCTGGTTTTCCACCCTGATCAGACATTAGAATCACCTGGGAAGATTATCAGGTTTCCCCACCCCCAAAGATTCTCATTTAATGGTCTGGGGTGGAAATAAAGGGAAATAAATCGGTAATTTTCAAAAGCTCTTAGGTGATTCAAATATGCAGTCAAGGTAGAGGATTACGTTGACAAGAAAACTGAATTCAATTTTATTCTCATCCACTTGCCTATACAGATTGAACTCACCTGGGTAGTCACTGACCTTTTCTCAAAACCTTTCTCTGAGTCAGGGAAATGACACAAGATGTGTCTCTCACAGCAAAGATGCCTTGGTGTATGCTAGAGAATCAGGGTAATTATCATCAAGTAAAACTGCATGCTGCTTGCTTCCACAGAAACCTTTAAATTTGCTTGAGAAATAAGGACTAAGAGTTCCCTTGAAACTTGTAGAATGTAGGAACTTCTGATTAAATAAATTTACCAAGGATCTAGCTTTAACTCTACGGGCCATATTATATGAGTTCCTATCCCAGATACATCATCTGACAGTATGAATACACTTACAAGGACAATGGAATAAAATATTTAAAATTAGAATTGACCCTTAACATCTGGAATATATGACCACCATACATTTAGATATTATAAGACTGCATGTTCTACAGAAGGGCCAATCTCACTTGCATTTGAGGGGCTTTGGTCTCCTGGTAAAATCATTTCTCATTTCTGAATTTTCAATACCCTAGAGATGTCGTATGTGTTTCTTTGGCATTAAGTGTCTTTCCTGAAACTATGAAGCAAAGTTCAACAATAGTTCAAGAGGATACCCTGAATCAGAGTCTCTAATTCATTTAAACTGTTAAATCCTGAAATAAAAATATGGAATCAGGGTCTCAAGACCTATAGGTCATGAACCTGCTACTAAACCACAATGTCATAATCTCCAAATCCACAGTGAAAGGAGTGATGAAGTTAGGAATAATACTAGGTCCTGTCAACCCCTGAGATTCTAGGAATTTCTCTAACTTTCAAGAAATTCTTTGGAATGTTTTTAGAAGTTTTTTTTCCTTGGAAACCAAGATGCAAGAGATATCATTTGGTAGAGCTGCCACTATCCACTTGGTTCTGGGAGACCTTTAAGAAATTTAATGGAGGAAGGAAAGATGAAATAAGCAGGAGAGAAAGAAAATTTTAAAATAAAAGTCACCAAAAATATCCCTTAGCATAGTGAACATAAGCTTTCATTTAGTAAGAGTCTCTTTGGGTCAGATCCCTGTTCTCATCTTTAGTTCCTGTAGTTCAAGTGGGGCTGATCCTTCTGTATCATAATCAACTTGAACCCCAGTCTTCATGTTTCCTGCTGGTGGTGCCATTGTGTAAGTATAGCTGGTCTGTTGAATTAACTGGACTCCTTTGGATGCAAGCACAAAGTAACTCCATTTTTCTCAAGATAACTCCTTTAAATCTACTCCCCTAACTTATACCACATCCCCCACCTCTGGATCCAAACCAAATACCACCTCTGACTCCAGGCAGAGGCTCCATGACACAAGCCAGAGTCCTCCTTAGGACTTTTTTGGGAATTATTGTGAAAATGGCACTCTCTTTTCTTAGATGGTTTCCTGCGGATGATACAAGCCTAGAGTTACTCTAAGCTTATTTTCCATTTTGTGGGAAATTATTGTCCAAGAAAAAGTCTATCTAGAAAAAAACAATTCTCAGGTAGCAAAAAAAGTAAAGCATCTTGATGTCAACCTCCTCTTTTTCTACTCTGCTTACAAAATATCCACGAGTCACCTGAAATAGCTTTGAGTTTGGATTTCTTCATTACCTGGGAGATAGATGATCTTAATAATTCCTTTCAATTGTGGAAGTCTAGGTTCTTATTGCAATGTCTGCCTCAGTATCTAGTTGATATGGTTTGGCTGTTTTCCCACCCCGAACCTAATCTTGAATTATAATCCCCACGTGTCAAAGGCAGGACCAGGTGGAAGTAACTGGATCATGGGGGCAGTTTCCCCCATGCTGTTGTCATGATAGTGAGTGAATCTCATGAGATCTCATGTTTTTATAAGTGTCTGGCATTTCCCCTGCTGGCACTCATTCTCTCTCCTGCCACCCTGTAAAGAGTTACCTTCTGCCATGATTGTAGGTTTCCTGAGGCCTCCCCAGCCATATGGAACTGTGAGTCAATTAAACTTATTTTCTTTATAAGTTACCCAGTCTTAGGTATTTCTTCATGGCAGTGTGAGAACAGACTAATACAGTAAATCTGTACCTGGAGTGTGGCACTGCTATAAAGATACCCAGAAATGTGGAAGCGACTTTGAAGGTGGGTAACAGGCAGAGGCTGGAACAGTTTGGAGGGCTCATAAAAAGACAGGAAAATGTGGGAAAGTTTGGAACTTCCTTGAGACTTGTTGAATAGCTTTGACAAAAATGCTGATAGTGATATGGACAATGAAGTCCTGGCTGAAGTGGTCTCATATGAAGATGAGAAAATTGTTGGGAACTGGAATAAAAGTCACTCTTGCTATGCTTTGGCAGAGAGACTAGAGATCCGTGGAACTCTGAACTTGAGAAAGATGATTTAGGGTATCTGGCAGAAGAAATTTCTAAGCAGCAAAGCATTTAAGAGGTGACAGGGCATAAAAGATTGAAAAATTTGCAGCCTGATGATGCAATAGAAAAAAAAGCTCATTTTCGGGGGAGAAATTCAAGCCAATGGCAGAAATTTGCATAAGTAATGAGAAGCCAAATGTTAATGCCCAAGACAATGGAGAAAATGTCTCCAGGGCATGTCAGAGAGCTTCACAGCATCTCCTCCCATCACAGGTCCAGAGGCTTAGGAGGGAAAAAATGGTTTCCTGGGCTGGGTGTAGGGCCCTCCTGCTGGGTGCAGCCTTGGGACTTGGTGTCCCAGCTGCTCCAGTCATGGTTAAAAGGGGCCAAGGTACAGCTCTGGCCATTTCTTCAGAGGACGTAAGATTCCAGTATTGGCAGCTTCCACGTGGTGTTGGTCCTGTAGGTGCGCAGAAGATAAGAATTGAGGTTTGGAAACCTCCGCCTAGAATTCAGAGAATGTATGGAAATGCCTGGATGTCCAGGAAGAAGTTTGCTGCAGGGGCAGTAGCTTCATGAAGAACCTCTGCTAGAGCAGTGTGGAAAGGCAACGTGGGGTCAGAGCCCCAACACAGAGTATCCACTGGGGCACTGCCAAGCAGATCTGTGAGAAGATGGCCATCGCTCTCCAGGCCCCAGAATGGTAGATCCACTAACACCTTGCATTACATGCCTGGGAAAGCCACAGTCACTCAACGCCAGCCCATGAAAACAGCCAGGAGGGGGCCTGTACCCTGCATAGCCACATAGGCAGAGCTGCCCAAGGCCTTGGGAATCCATCTCTTGCATCAGTGTGACCCAGATGTGAGACATGGGGTCAAAGGAGATCATTTTACAACCTTAAGGTTTAATGACTACCCTGTTGGATTTCTGGCTTGGATGGGGCCTATAGCTCCTTTGTTTTGGCCACTTTCTACCATTTGAAATGGGTATATTTACCCAATGACTGTACCCCTATCATGTCTAGGAAGTAACTAACTTGCTTTCGATTGTACAGGCTCCTAAGTGGAATGGACTTGCCTTATCTCAGATGAAACTTTGGACTTGGACTTTTGGGTTAATGCTTGAATGGGCTAAGATTTTGGGGGACTGTTGGAAAGGCATGATTGTGTTTTGAAATGTGAGGACATGAGATTTGGGAGGGGTTGGGGCAGAATGATATGGTTTGGCTGTGACCCCACCCAAAATCTCATCTTGAATTATAATCTCCATGTGTCAAGGGCAGGACCAGGTGGACGTAATTGGATTATGGGAGCAGTTTCCCCATGCTGTTCTCATGATAGTGAGTGAGTCTCTCGAGATCTGATGGTTTTTTAAGCATCTGGCATTTCCTCTGCTGGCACTCATTCTCTCTTCTGTCACCCTGTGAAGAGGTACCTTCCACCATGATTGTAAATTTCCTGAGGCCCCCTCAGTCATGCAGAACTATGAATCAATTGAACCTCTTTTCTTTATAAATTACCCAGTCTTAGGTATTTCTTCATAGCAGGGTGAGAATGGACTAATACACTAGCCAATTAGTGGTCATCTAAAGTAGGAATCTTATTCTACTCCAAAGAGGGTTTGAAAAAGTCTCCAAGATCAATCATGAAATGGTTTATGGTATTCTTTGTGATTTATCAATAATTGAAATCAATCTCAGTTTATCTTGCACCTACTTTCAGGTGTAGATTGATTAGTAGGTAGATAAAGAAATAGAAATCTTTCACACCTCTGGATACTGTGTCTCAAAAAGTATCTCAGTAATTTACCCAAAATAAAAGACTATATTTGCCGCAATAATTGGCAGACAGAAGTGTCAAGGGAAGGTATGTTGAATAATGATATAACAGCCATCTGTTTAAAGAGAAATTGGCAGTCTCATCCCATAAAAGGAGAAGTTATTTTCTGTGCCAAAAATTGGTCCCAGCAATGCACAAAAGACCCAGTAGTACTGTGACTTTATTTCACATTTTAAAATGATGGACCTTTGCATTCTTAGGGGTTCTGTATACCCAGATCCTTCTGTAACACAATCAAGTTTAACTCAAGTGTTCATGTTTACTGATGGTGGTCTTACTGTATGTGTAACTGGCTTATTGAATTAACTGGGCTTCATAGGACATAAGCACAAGGTAATTCCTGTCATTCCAAAGATGACTCCTTTAAATCTATTCTCCCAGCTTATACCACATCCCCACTCCTCAATCCCTTAGATGAAATCTCAGCCATTTCTCATAGCTTTTCTGTCAGTTTCAGATAATAAACAATTTAATCCAGTCTAATAATCATATGACTCCAAACCATCTTTGTTAAATCTTCTATCCTCCCTCAGCTATATTTGGGGATATGCAGGTATGATGAAATGTCTTTATTTTCTTACCTAACTCTCTACTCTTTCTGATCACTCACTAGCCTTCATCTAGCTGCTCCAGAATTTGAGCTACTAAACAAATGTGACATAGGACATATGGCAGAATGTCTTACTCAACTGGTGTAGGCCTTAAAGCCCTCTGAGTATGGAGGATTCCAAGTGGTTGGTCTACCTCTTTGTGGTTTTATGGGTTCCTGTTGCAGACCCCTCTCCTGTAAATACCTTAATATATGTGATGTTTTCAAGTTGGACACTTATAAGTCCATCCTCAGTCTCTTATTTTCCATGGTTCATCCACTGTGGAACACTTGTTGCCTTTCCTGACATTCTTCGAGTGAAATTCCTTTCACAATGACCAATCTAATTTCCTCTAACTGGGTCTACAGTTGGTGCACGGAAAACATACTTTCATGGCTCCAGGGAAGTCTGCCATCAGAATAGCTCTTGCTTTTAGACTCTTCAGGTATAAGACAAGTATCCAGTATCATGCACTGCTGTTCAATGAATGCTAAGTACACCAAATCAAACTCCCTAAGAGATTTTCTTGACCCCACCCCCTCCAACTACCACTAGTGATTTGCCTTGAGTTGCAGGTAGAAGAAACACTACCACACACCATGAATATGAAAGAGAAACTAGATAAACATAATGCACACAGACAACATCTACTTTCTCTCTCCAGATCCTTTATCTCCACTCCTGGATTCTCCACTTTTTATCCATGGTTTAGAAGTAGGTTTGAGATAATGCTGGATGAACCAATTTGGGGCCATCCTCTTTGTTAGTCTTATCTAACAGTACAGTTTAGAGTATTTGCAAAATTGGTACTGATTTTATTCTTGAACTTTTGAACATATAAGCTTCCTTTTGTTAGTGATAATAAGATGAATATTTTTCCTGCTTGTATTGGAGCAGTTAATTCTTTAACATTTAATGTAATTAACTAGTATAGTTGGGTTTAAATTTATTACCTTATTTAAAAACTGTTATTTGGGCTACTCTGTCCATCTTGCTTGTTCTAAATCTATATATTTACTTTCTTTTCTTTCCTTCATACATCTCATCCTTTCAATGTGAAGTTTTTGTGAGGCCTAAAGAATAAATTTAATTTTCTCTGGGTACATTTGTCTCATGTAATAACTTTATTTCACCTAGCTTTCATTAGGTGTGATTTTTTTTATAGAAGTGAAATATTTGAAAATAAAAAGTGTGACAAAAATTAAATGCTCAGGATATATTAAAACAGTACATTTCATTAAATGTAATGTATATATTTTATAAAACATTAGTCGAATCTGCCATTTATAAGAAAAGAAGCCACTGTCCATTCAATTATGACAAAACACTGATTATAAGACTTTTTAAAAAGACTGATAAAATATGGTAATACCTTTTCTGGATTTATAAACTGGAAATGGTATAGTAAATCAGAAAGTGTATATTAAAATTATCAAAAATTTTCAAAATTATGTTCATATTTTCTTCTCAAGAAGCTAACATGAGAAAAAATTTTGATGAGCAGAGAAATGAAAACCATTTAATGTGAAATGCTTGATAAGAGTACATATTCCTAAAATATATTATTTCTCAGTGTAATTAGGGCATCTGGGAGTCCCAAATGTAAATAAATTCACATTTATTTATATATACTTGGCCTTTGATTTCCCAATAATGGTATTATGTGTTATTTTCTTTTTTTTTTTTAATTGAGGTGGAGTTTTGCTCTTGTTGCCCAGGCTGAGTGCAATGGCACAATCTCGGCTCACTGCAACCTCCGCCTCCCGGATTCAAGTGATTCTCCTGCCTCAGCCTCTCAAGTAGCTGGGATTACAGGCATGTGCCACCACGCCCGGCTAATTTTTTGTATTTTTAGTAGAGACAGGGTTTCTCCATGTTGGTCAGGCTGGTCTCGAACTCCTGACCTCAGGTGATCCACCCCCACTCGGCCTCCCAAAGTGCTGGGATTACAGGCGTGAGCCACCGCACCCAGTTTATATGTTATTTTCAGAAGCTTAAAATGCGGTTCTGCCCAGGTGCAGTGGCTCATGCCTGCTATCCCAGCACTTTGGGAGGCCCAGGCGGGCAGATCACGAGGTCAGGAGATTGAGAACATCCTGGCCAACATGGTGAAACCCCGTCTCTACTAAAAATACAAAAATTAGCAGGGTGTGGTGGTGTACACCTGTATTCCCAGCTACTCTTGGGAGGCTGAGGCAGGAGAATTGTTTGAACTTTGGAGGTGGAGGTTGCAGTGAGCCGAGATTGCACCACTGCACTCCAGCCTGGCAATACAGTGAGATTCTGTCCCCCCACAAAAAAAATGTGGTTTCCCAAGTCTTGTCTGCTTGTAACAACTCAAAAGCAAGAGGTGATTCTTACCTGTTGAGAACTACCGATTACCTCCAAAATTGCTGTCAGTGCCTTCAATTTGATGAGTTGCTTGGTATTCATAAGTTACTTGCTGCTGTAGCTCTGAGGAGTGAGGCCATGTCTCAATACATCTCTTATTATTCTGATCTCTGAGACTACTAGCCAGTCATTTGTTGCCACAGTGTCTAATAGCAACTAAAGTAAAGCACTAATGAGAGGAAGCCTTTGAGATATAGAGTGTAAAGAGAGAAGAGTACTCAACCAACATAAGAATGAGAGAATGAATGAATGTGTACCAGGTGGAGGGCGGAAGTCTGATTGCTAAATAGAAATGATATAAAAGAAGCACAAAATGTGGTTCTCAGATGTTTGCAGGAAGTGAAGCAAAGCAAACATAAATATGGTAAAAATAAGAAAAGATATAGAAGTGAATAATTTATGTCCATTGAAGGTAGTGATCATATCTTGTTTGCCTTTGTAGTATCAGCAACCATCAATGTCCATGGCACAGAGTAGAAATTCAGTTCATTAATGAAGAATAAAAAAGAATAGAGTCTTAGGGATTCCAAACCAACATATAAAGAGCTTGGAAGTTGTCACTCCTGTCCTCATAACAAGAAAAATGCTGAAAAAACTGAAAATCAACAGCCCTTCTAAGATCCATCAGACAGTTCGGTACATGGAGCAAACCACCGCCACAAAACTGGAGAGACAGGCAGGTAAGAGTCACAGCTTACCTTTAGCAGAGGCCCAGGCGTGGAAGCCCACAGCTGAAGCCAGTATCAGTAGGAACACTTTAAACTCTCATTTATAAAAGGCTGGAGGCTCAGTGTGAACTAGCCTGAAAGTTAAAAACGTTCATGGGGTCCAACCTTAGGGCCCCCCACAACTTTGAGAGTTTTATCTTCCTCCAAACGCCCTACCAGGTTCTTACTGTGAAAATCTGAGAAAACTCCTCACCTGCTTCCAGCAAGAGAAGGGGAAATGCAACCATTCTGAAATATGCCCAGAGTTTCCTGTTATCCTTAACCAAGGCTGAACCTTAGGGAAAACTGCTCTATCAGCACCTAACTAACTGGGGTTTTACCCAAATCTAACCAACCTAGGGAAAGGGAAATACCAACTCAGCCTCACTAAAAAAAGCGATAATGCCTCTCTGCCCTGCACACTTTACTACCACATCAATAGAGCTCCTGTATGATAACAGGGGATTTTAGCTTAGAAAACCTGCAAGCCTCAGAGTCGATTTAAAAAGTATCTAGGAAAACTCAAAGACAACAGTGGAGATGAAAACAAGCACATTACAGAAAATTTCAGCCTCTGATATTGCAACTAAAGGAAACAGGAAAAACAGTCCCACTCCCAGCCAGATAAACATAAAATCTCATACAAAAGTCCTATCTACCTCAGTCCCAAGGAAGAGGGTGTTTCGTGTTCAATAGCAAATGACGAGGCATGCTAACTGGCAAAAAATACAGCCTGAAGAGACAACAAACCACATTCAGATATGGCAGAGACTTTGGGATGATCAGACCAGAAATTAAAAATAACTATGATTAATAAGCTAAGGACTCTAATGGAACAAGTGGACAACAGGTAAGAAGAGATGGGTAATGTAAGCAGAGAGATGGAAACTCTAAAAATAATTAAAGGAAATTCTAGAAATTAAAAAAAAAAACACTCAGAACACCTCAGAAACGGAGAACACCTCAGTGGACATGGTCATGGACATCGGACATAGCCAAGGAAAGAATCAGTGAGAAGATATGTCAATAGAAACTTTCAAAATGAAATACAAAATGGGAGAAAGAATGAAAAAGATGGAACAGAGTATCCAAGGTGGGACATTTAAAAAAGGTACAACAGGCTGGGCGCAGTGGCTCACGCCTGTAATCCCAGCACTTTGGGAGGCCAAGGCGGGTGAATCACGAGGTCAGGAGTTCGAGACCAGCCTGGCCAACATGGTGAAACCCCATCTCTACTAAAAATACAAAAAATTAGTTGGGCATGGTGGCGGATGCCTGTGATCCCAGTTACTCCGAGGCTGAGGTAGAAGAATCACTTGGACCCGGGAGGCGGAGGTTGCAGTGAGCCAAGATTATGCCACTGCACTCCAGCCTGGGTGATAGAGTGAGAATCTGTCTCAAAAAAAAAAGTGCAACATATGCATAATGAAAATATCAGAAGGAGAAGAAAGAAAAAAAAAAAACAAAACAAAAATATTTAAAATAATAATGGCTGAGAATTTTCCAAAATTAATCAGATTCAGAAAGTGCAGGGACCACCAAGCAGAATAAATACCAAAAAAGTGACACCAAGGCATATCATGAATAAACTGCAGAAAATCAAAGACAAAGAAAACCTTGAAAGAAGTCAGAGGAAAAAACATTTGCCTATAGAGGAACAGGATAGGAATTACATTGGACTTCTCAGAAACCACGCAAGGATGAAGAGAGTGCAGTGACATATTTAAAGTTTTCAAAGAAAAAACCCACCAACCTAGAATTATGTATCCAGCAAAACTGTCCTTCAAAAGAGAAAGGGAAATAAAGACTTTCTCAGACAAACAAAAATTGAGGGAATTTGACACCAGTAGGCATGCCTGGCAAGAAATGTTCAAACAATTTTTGAGAAAGAAGAAAATTGATGTAGGTCAGATACTCAGATCTACATAAAGGAAGGAATTAGGTAAGGAATAAATGAAGGTAAAATAAAATCTTTTATTTTCTTATTGTTATTTTATTTAACTGATAACAGTTTGTTCAAAAGAATAATAGCAACAATGTATTCAGTGATTATTGCTTATATAAGTGAAATGAATGACATTAATGTTTAAGGGACAGCAGAAAGGAATTCAAAATACTCTGTTATGATGACTGGTACTACCTATGAAGTATGTCAATGTTATTTGAAAGAAGACTTGGATATAGTCATAAATATATATTGCAAACACAAGGGGTACCACTAAAGCATAAAAAAGAAGTATAATTGATATGCTAAAAGGATAAAAAGATGGAATTATATAACATGCTCAGTTGAAACCGGAGAGGGAAAGAGAGTGGGGCAGAGAGAGAGAGAGAGAGAGAGAGGTAAGGGGGAATTAATAGAAAACAGTTACAAATATTATAGATATTAATACAAATATATTCATAATCACTTTAAATATCAATGGTCTAATCCTTATACCTATTAAAGACAGAGACTGTCAGAGTAGGTAATAAAAAAAACAAGACCTAACTATATTCTTTCTATGAGAAACCCACTTTAAGTATAAAGCCACAAATAGATTAAAAATAAAGGGATGGAGAAAGATATATTATGCTAATACCCATCAAAAGAAAGCTGAAGTAACAGTATTAATTACAGACAAGGCTGACTTCAGGGCAAGGGAAATAATCAGGGATAAAGAGGGGCATTGCATAATGATAAAGGGGTCAATTCTCCAAGAAGACATGACAATCCTTAATGCATATGTACCTAAAAACAGAGTTTAAAAAAACGTGAGACAAAATCTGATAAAAATGCAAGAAGAAATAATTGAATTAACTATAATAGTTGGTACAGTTGGAGAATTTAATACTGTCTTTAGGTAATTGACAGATCTAGCAAGCAGAAAATCATAAGGATGTAATGAACCAAACAGCACCATCTATCAGCTGGATCTAACTGACATTCAACTATAGTAGAATTCACATTTTTTTCAAGCTCACAAGAAACAGTGACCAAAACAGACCAAATACTGGGCCATAAAGTATAGGCCATTAGTATGTGTGAGATGCAGCAAAAACAGTACTTAGAGGGAAATATATAGTAATGAATATTTATATTAGAAAAAATCTAAGATCAATAATCTAGGCTTCTACCTTAAGAAATTAGAAAAAAGATGAGTACATTAAATCCAGAGTAGGGAAAAGAAAAGAAATAAGAGATTTGGCATATATTGCATTCGTAAGAAGTACCATTACAAAGAACATTGAGGTAAAAAATTCCAAACGAAATTTTTACTGTATTTTAGAAAAAAGTTCAAATTCTGTATCTACCATTTCATATCTTGATAGCATAAAAAAATTCATCAAATCCCTCTGAGATTCAATTTTCTCATTTCATGTTTATTGCAAGAAATAAGTTTAAAAACTCATGAAAAACAGTACATTAAGCATTCTAAAATGGCAGAAGTTGATTAAGGGGTACAAAAATACAATTAGATAGAAGGAATAAGTTTTAGTATTCAATAGTACAACATGGAAATTATACTTAACAATAATTTATTGTATATTTCAAAATAGCTAGAAGAGAAGAATCGCAATGTTCCCAACACAAAAAAAGATAAATATTTGAGGTGATGGATATCCCAGTTACCCTGATTTGACCTCTGCACATTGTATACAGGTATCAAAATAGCACATGTACCCCCAAAATATGTACAACTATTATACATCCATAAAAGTGGTAGGGGTTGTCTTCATCGCCAATCTCATCATCATCATCACCACCACTGCCATTACCACCATCAGCACCATAATCATCATCACATCACAATAAAATGTGCGTTGATGGAAAATATTGAACATACAAAGATAAATGAAGCCTGGTTAGATAAAAAGGTTAATTGTGGAATCCACAAGAGAATCTCCCTATTTGTTGGAGAATCTGCTAAAAGACCACCTTCTTCAGGATGCTTTCTTAGGCACCTCTGTCCTGATATTGATGACTTACCTTCTCCTGGTCCCGTCTGCCTTTGTGCTGTCATGGCCCACAGTGACCCAGAGGTCAGCCACTTCATCTCTTTATGTTCTGCTACACAATTCCACTCACACACATTAGTTTATGAAAGATTTTGTAATAGAAAAAGAGGCTGATATGATATGCCTTCCAGAAAACAAAAAGAAAATTCTTATTAGACATTTCTGTTCTGTCAAGGTGCTTCTTAGCAGCCCTGTCAAAGACAGTTTTGCTTTTGTACCTTTTTCCCTGACAAGTTCTCATTCCCTCTCCCTCTCTCAAGTTTCCCTTTATAAACCTCAAATTACTCTCTCACTGATGGATAGAGTCATTCAGCTGTCCTTGGATGTGTCTCTCAAATCTTGTATAACAGAACGTATAACTTGCACTCAAATAGTTTTCTTTTTCAGGATAGCTAATTTC